>NC_000016.10:59714015-60017045 GCF_000001405.40 Homo sapiens | reverse complement strand
GCTGGCTGCAGAATTGTGCATAAGTAACATGGAGCCGAATGTTAGTAGCTAGGAAAATTGGAAAAATGTCTTTAGGGCATTTCAGGGATGTTCATAGCAGCCCATTCCATCACAGGTCTGGAGGTCCAGAAGGGAAAAATTGTTTCCTGGGCCAAGCTCAGGACCCTGATGCTTTGTGCAGCCTTGAGACTTGGTGCCCTGTGTCCTAGCCACTCCAGCTTTAGCCTTGGCTAAAAGGGGCCAAGGTACAACTCTGGCCATGGTTTCAGAGGGTTCAAGTCCCAAATCTTGGTGGCTTCCACATGGTGTTGGGCCTTTAGGTGTGCAGAAGAGTTAAGCTTTGGGAACTTTCACCTAGATTTCAGAGGATGTATGGAAATGCCTGAACGTCCAGGCAGAAGTCTGCTGCAGGGGTGGAGCCTTCATGGAGAACCTCTGCTAGGGCAGTGTGGAAGGGAAATGTGGAGTTGGCACTCCCATGCAGAGTCCCCTTGTGTCACTGCCTAGTGGAGCTATCGGAAGAGGGCCATGGTCCTCCAGATCCCAGAAAAGTAGATCCACTGACAGTTTTCATTGTGTGCATGGAAAAGCCACAGGCACTCAATTCCAGCCTGTGAGAGCAGCCACAAGGGCCATACCCTGCAGAGCCACAGGGGTGAAGCTGCTCAAGGTAATGGAAGCCCACCCCTAGCAACAGCATGCCATGGATGTGATTCATGGAGTCAAAGAAGATTTGAGAGCTTTAAAATGTAATGACTGTCTGGCCACGTTTCAGATTTGCATGGAGCCTGTGGTCCCTTTGTGCCAATTTCTCCCATTTGGAATGGGAACATTTACCCAATGCCTGTACCCCCACTGGATCTTCGAAATAACTAACTTGCTTTTGATTTTATAGGCTCATAGGCAGAAGGGACTTCCCTTATCTCAGATGAGACTTTGGACTTGGACTTATCAGTTAATGCTCAAATGAGTTAAGACTTTGGGGGACTGTTGGGAAGGCATGATTGGTTTTGAAATGTGAAAACGACATGAGATCTGGGAGGGGTTGGGGTGGAATGATATGATTTGGGTGTGTCCCAACAAAAATCTCATCTCAAATGGTAATCCCCATGTGTAGATGAAGGGACCTGGTGGGAGGTGATTGGATCATGGTGGTGGGGGGGTTCCCCCATACCGTTCTCATGATAGTGAGGGAGTTCTCACAATATCTGATGATTTACAAGTGGCAGTTTCCCCTGCATCTCTCTCTCTTTCTCTGTCTCTCTCTCTCTTTCACTCTCTCTTTCTCTCACTTTCACTCTCTCTCTCTCTCTCCTGCCTCCTTGTGAAGAAGGTGCCTGCTTTCCCTTCACCTTCTGCCATGATTGTAAGCTTCTTGAGGCCTCCCCAGCCATGCAGAACTATGAGTCAAGTAAATGTCTTTCCTTTTAAAATTACAGTCTTAGGCAGTGCTTTATAGCGATATGACAATAGACTAGTACAGCACTGCTTTACTGTAGATCACAACTTTTGATATGCCCTATTTCCATTTTCTTTCAGTTTCAAAATATTTTCTAATTTTCATTCTGATTTCTTCTTTGACCCATGGGTTATTAAAAAAATCCATTGTTTAATTTTCAAATATATAAAAGTGTTTCAGATATCTTTCTGTTATTGATTTCTATTTTAATTATGTTGTGATAAAAGAATATGCTCTGTATGATTTTCATGCTTTTAATTTTGTTGGGACTCATTTTATGACCCAGAATGCACTCTATCTTGATACACTTGCAGAAGCATTTGAAAAATATGTGAATTTTTTTTGGTCATATGGCATTTCTAAAGATGACACTTCTACTTAATGATGTTCATAGTTCTTCTGTATCCTATAAATTTCAATTATTTTACATGTATTCACAGTGTTCGCATCTTCTATATCCCTACTGCTTGTCTACTTTCTATGATTTTCTGAGAGACGTGTATGAAATATATCATTATAAATGTAGTTATGTTTGTCCTTTTTTTTCTATCAATATATGTTCTATACATTTTGAATCTCTATTATGAGCACACACATTTCAGTTTTATAAGTCCTTGTGAAGAATTGACCCCTTTATCATTACAAAATGTAACCTTTTATTTATTCCTTTTTCTAGTGTCTACTTTTATATTAACAGGGCCCCTATAGCTTTCTTTTGAAGCATTTGAAGCATTAGCATTTGTGTGGTTTACTTTTTAAAAACATTTACATTTAAGCTGTCTATATCATTCTATTTAAATGAGTTTTTATAGAAAGCATATAGTTTGTTCTTTACATTCTGACTACTTAGTTTCTGCTTTTTAATTGAATGTTTAGACAATTCTTATTACTTTCTTAGCATTTGCTTTTTAAAAATTTTTCTTTTTAGTTCTTGCTACAGGTACAGGAACTGCAGGTTTGTTGCATAGGTAAAAATGTGCCATGGTGGTGTGCTGCACCTGTCAAACCATCACATAGGCATTAAACCCAGCGTGCATTAGCTATTTTTTATGATGTTCTCCCTCCCCAACTACCCCTCGAGAGGCCCCAACACGTGCTGTTTTTTGCCCTGTGTCCTCATGTGTTCATGAGACAATGCGTTCTCATTGTTCAGCTCCCACTCATAAATAAGAATTTGCAGTGTTATGTTTTCTGTTCCTGCATTAATTTGCTAGGGTTAATGACTCCTAGTTTCATCCATGTCCCTGCAAAGGACAGCTCTTTCAGATAATCCAATCAGTCGTAGGTTTAGTCTTTTTACATAGTCCCATATTTCTTGGAGGTTTTGTTCATTCCTTTTCATTCTTTTTTCTCTAATCTTATCTGCCTGCCTTATTTTAGCAAGATTGTCTTCAAGCTCTGATACTCACTCTTCCGCTTGGTCGATTCAGCCATTGATACTTGTATTTGTATCATGAAGTTCTCGTGCTGTTTCTCAGCTCCGTCAGGTCGTTTATGTTCCTCTCTAAACTGGTTATTCTAGTTAACAGCTCCTATAATCTTTGATCATGGATCTTAACTTCTTTGCATTGGGTTATAACATAATCCTTTAGCTCCATGGAATTCGTTATTACCCACTTTCTGAAGCCTACTTCTGTCAGTTCATCCATCTCAGCCTCAGCCCCATTCTCTGCCCTTGCTGGAGAAGTGTTGCGATTGTTTGGAGGAGAATAGGCATTTTAGCTTTTGATATTTTCAGCATTTTTTGCGTTGGTTTTTCCTCATCTTCATGATGTATCTACCTTTAATCTTTGAGGCTGATGAACTTTGGATGGTGTTTCTGTTGGGTCTTTTTTGTTAATGTTGTTGTTGTTGTTACTTTCTGTTAATTTATTTTTCTTCTAACAGTCAGGTCCCTCTTCTGCAGGTCTGCTGCAGTTTGCTGGGGATCCACTCCAAACTCTGTTCACCTAGGTATCACCAGTGGAGGCTGCAGAACAGCAAAGATTGCTGCCTGCTCCTTCCTCTTGAAGCTTCATCCCAAAGGGTCACCAACCTGATGTCAGCTGGAACTCTCCTGTATGAGGTGTCTGGAGACCCCCGTTGGGAGGTCTCACCCAGTCAGGAGGCACAGATCAAGGACCCATTTAAGGAAGCAGTCTGTCCCTTAGCGAATCTGGTGTAGTGTGCTGGGAGAATACCCCTCGTTGGGATCAGCCGGTCTTTTTAGAGCCAGCAGGCAGGAAAGGTGGTCTCTTTAGAGCCAGGAGGCAGGAAAGGCTAAGTTGTGTCCCAGGGAGATGAGAGTTCTATCTGGAAGCCCCCCAGGAACTCCGTCGTCCCAGGCCGACTCCAGACTGCTGTGCTGGCTGTGGGGATCTCAAGCCAGGGGGTCTTACCTTGCCAGGCTCCATGGGAGTGGGACCCGCTGATCAAGGCCACTTGCTCCCTGGCTTCAGTCACCTTTCCATGGGAGTGCACTGTTCTCCTGTCTCATTGAAGTTCCAGGAGCCGCTGGACTAGGTAAAAACTCCTGCAGCTCAATGTCTGCCCAAACAGCCACTGACAGAAGCGGCTGTCGTTGGTTTGCCCAGTTTTGTGCTTGAGACTCAGGGCCCTGGAGGTGTGGGCTCACGAGGGAATCTCCTGATCCACAGATTGCAAAAATTCGTGGGAGAGGCATAGTACCCCTGGCATGTACCCCTCACCCCTTCCATTTGCTGGGAGAGGGAGGTTTCCCTGCCTCCGTGCAGCTCCGGGGTGAAGTGAAGCCCCACCCTGCTTCTGCTCACTCTCCGTGGTTGTTCCAACCGCCTATCAGTCCCAGTAAGATGAACTTGGTATCTCAGTTGGGGATGCAGAAAATCACCTGCCTTCCACATTCCTCTTGCTGGGAGCTGTAGACCGAAGCAGTTTCTAGTCAGCCATCTTGGCCCTTCCCCAAATCCAGGGATTTTTTTTTTTTTAAATGAAAGAAACCTCATGTAATTAGCGTTCTAATCCCCATATCAGGTATTGTTTAATTATTTGTGTATATACAACTATTAATTTGTTTTCATTTTCTTCTTAAAAAACTTCCTTTAGTCTTTCTTATAATGTCAGTGGGCTGACAACAAATTTTCTGTTTTTGTTTCAAAAAGTCTTTTAATCTTCACTTTTGAAGGACATTTGTCCTGATTATAGAATTCCTTTTTTATTTTTTGGGGGACATTAAAATGCCATTCTGTATCTTTTCTGCTTTTTTTTTCTGTTGAGAAATCTGAGGCCATTCTTTATTCTTATGTATCGTGTACTTTTAACTCAATCTGAATTTAAGATGTTGTTTTTATCATTGGTTTTCTGCAACTTCATTGTGATGTATCTTGACGGATTTTTCTGTTAATCTTGTGGATTTCCTTGGATCTGTGGATTTATAATTTTTAACAAATAATTAACTTCCAATAAACCCTCTCTCCTTTTTTTTTTCTAGGACCCTAATTACACTTATTTTAGTTTGCTTGATATTGCCGAATATAGTTTTTTCTCTGTGCTTCAGTTTAAGCAGGCTCTATATCTATGTTATCATGCTCACTGCTTTTTTTCTTTAGCAATGTCTCAATTGCTGATAATCTTTTGAATGACTTTTAAATTTCAGACATTATAGTTTTCATCCTAGGAATTCCCTCCGATTCTTTTTTCTTTCAATTTTTTAAAGCTCATGTTTTCCATTAAATTCTTGAGCATATTTAAAATGGATTTCTCTGGATATAGGTCACATATCACCATAGTTTTTACATTTTGACAGAATGTGGTATATGGTAATTTTTTTCTTTTTCTTTTTTTTTTTCTTTTGAGACAGAATCTCATTCTGTTGCCCAGGCTGGAGTGCAATGGCTCAATCTCGGCTCACTGAAACCTCTGCCTCCTGGGTTCAAGTGATTCTCCTGCCTCAGCCTTCTGAGTAGCTGGGACTATAGGCGTGTGCCACCACGCCCAGCTAATTTTTTCTGTTTTTATTAGAGATGGGGTTTCACTGTGTTAGCCAGGATGGTCTTGATCTCCTGAGCTCGTGATCTATCCACCTTGGCCTCCCAGAGTGCTGGGATTACAGGGATGAGCCACCACACCTGGCCCAAGGTAAATTTTAATAAAATGCTGGACATGGTAACTTTATATTGTAAGATGTTAGATTTTATTGTTTTCTTTTAAAGTATAATGAAACTTCATCAGCATGCAGTTATCTTTGGATGAGTTTGGTTCATTAGAGGGGTTTTTTTTTTTTTTTTGAAGTTTTATTAAGGAAGATCTAGAGTATACTTTCTCTCGAGCAACTTTCATCCTGCCATTGAGGCATAATCCTCTGGCATCTCTACTGAATTAATTCCTTGTTTCACACTGTCTAGAGCAAATGCGAATGTTAGTCCACCTGTGGTTGAAAGTGAAATTCAGCTTATAGATCTCTGTTTTTTTTTGTTTGTTTGTTTTTTGGCTATCCTCGTGGAGGTTGACCCAACTTGAGTTATTACTCAGTAAGAGAATCAAGAAGACCCCTTGGGCAGATTCTGAACCTTTTTCTTGGTGTAGTCTCCTTCTCTCTACTCTGCTTTATATATTCTAGCTGTCTGAACCTTACTGAGCTGCTAGCTCTGTCACTTCAACTCAGAAAGGCCAATGTGCTTTTATTATGTCTTCCCTCCCCTCAGCAAGGTCCATAAAGTGCTTCCAGGAAGAAAGCTAGAATGGCTGTAGAATTCACCCTATATTGCCTTTTCTCAAATATCACATTCCTGTGCTTCCTACTGTTTCCACTTTGTAAAAGTAGTTGTTTTGTTCAGTTTGTCCCATTTTCTGTGTGTGTGTGTTGTGTTAAGAAGGAAAGTTTGGTCTCAGCGACTCGCGACTCTTATCACGGCTAGAAGTCCCCCAGCTTTCTTATACTATTTCCCCAAAGCTAAATTTAGCTCCAAAAGACACTTTCCTAGGTATTGCATTATGACAAGGCTGCTCACAACATAATGAGTGCTATTGATCCACAGGTAACCTCAATGGTCTCATCTTCCAAAAGAGCACACAGAAGAAAACTATAATTGCCTATCAAATTATTTTCACTACAGAAATGAGTAATGTGATATGACATTTTATCTCATAAAAATACTTGTCAAAATAGTTTATGGCTTCTCAATCTGTGGCTTTTTTGATAAAGAAAAATAAAAACTAACTGTGCTATCTATGATCCAACAAATTACATTTTACACACATGTACACACACAGAGAAAAATCACAAAAGTTTCTGAGCAAGAAAACTATGAAGTTGTATCGATTTATGATACTCATTAGGGTAAATAGGTTCCTGCAGTTAGTAAACATGGTCTTATTGTTATTTAATATTCTTATTATCATGAATGATAAAGAAACCGAACCCCATCCAATGAGACTCCATGAAATTGTGCCCAGATACTTTGTGGCAAAATCAAAGTTCATCAATCACTTAATCTGTCTCTTCATCCTATACTGTATCTACCACAATGCACAAGCAATATTGTGCATCACATGTATAAAAGTTTGCTTGGAGTTTGTTTACCTGAGAGTGGTAGTCTTTATTCAGTCAACAGACCTGTGATTTATTTTCAAGTCAAGTTCACATTTGAAATATTATTGAATCATAGTGAAATAACATAGTAACAAGAAGTTAGTCTTCAGCATCAGAAAACTTGGTGCTAAATCTTAGCTTCACCACTTCTGGCCCAATGTCACATAGGTAGAAATTTTCTAAACTTTGGGTTTCTTCACAGGTTAGGCATTAATTATAGTAATAGTGCCTAACTCATGCAGTTTTGGTTTTTGGTAATATTAATGAGTTACCAACAATCATAGTAGATGCTCACTAGCTATTTGTTAAAAGATCATGTGTAAAAAGCTTACTGATAGCCAATAATCACTGAGTGGCTAATATTTGATAGCTACACTCTTGCTTTTGAATTATAAATGTTTTAAATGTAATTTTACAATGTCAGTTTTTCAAAATGTAGCATTTTAAACTCAAAATAAGAGGCAACTGTAATGAATCAGGGCAGTGTTCCACAAGGTGGTCCATGAGTTCGCGTCACCTTGGTGTAACTCAGCATTCTATAGTAGAGACATAATCTTATGCAAGCCGTGGAGTGGACTTGTTTCATAAATGCACCAGGACAATGATATTTAGTTGTTGTTGTTTTGAGTGATTGAAAGTACTAGAACCTGACAGGTTTGTCCTTGAATCAATTCACAACCTTCAAAGAATGTTGTTTCGAAGGGCACTGTCACCATCACTTTCCTGCCCCTTCTCCACCCCAAATCAATTCCTATGAACCAGGCTAATTAGTCTCTCTTCTGATTGACACACACACACACACACACACACGCACACATACACACACACTCTCTTTCTCCCTCTTTGTCTCTCTATCTATTACTTTTTTCATAGAGGCCACAGTCCAGCCTTATTGATCTGGAGTTACCTGCCTTTTCAGATGACTGCACTAGTTGTTACATGTTCAGAGAGGAATAGCATGTTCTATTTCATATTATGATTGAATGGCACAAGAGTAAACTGTTGTATTACTTCACACAGCAGAGCTATTCTTGTGCAATTTGAAGTGATTCACTTGATTCAGAAGTGTGAGACAATTATAACTCCTGATTACAATTAGGAAAGATGTGAGGAATCCCAATAATGATTTGTTTTTAGGAGAAAAATAATATTGCATTGATTGTTACAAGTTCAGAAATAAAATGGTGGCATTTTCACATCTGATGGTATATTTACAACTTATGAAGACTGCCATTCAGCACTCAAGCTGTCCTTCACTCACCACTGAACTGCAGCATGTAAGAGACTGAGAGTTGAGCAGAAATTCAAGTTCAGAGTGGGCCATGCTTGATGGTCACACACATTCTTTGTCCCTTAGGCTGCATTCAATGCCGCTTGAGCAAAAATAACTAGAAAATGGATTTCTTATTCTGCAATGTATAGAGATTAAATTCTCAAATTGTGATCAAAATGCCATTATAGATGCCTTTCATAGAGTCATTATCAATGTATCTCTTTTATAAAAAGTGTCTCTTCATGGGCTTAATTGGTTGCCTTGAATAAATGATTTAAAATATTTCAAAAATTCTTAATTCAGAACATAAGCATGCTTTACAATTGACAAATATATTTGACAGTAAAAATTGTTTTGCTTTCAAAAAATTACTAAAGCACTTATTAAGCATCGTGCATTTCTTTGCCTTCCATCATCTTTATATAGAACTTTTTAAGTGCCTTTATAAGGTCTATAATAATTTATCTATGCTAAGAAAGTGAATGTTAAGTGTTCTCACCACAAAAATAACTATGTGAGGTAATGCATACCTTTAGCTAGATTTAGCCACTCCACAGTGTATACATATACTTGAAAACATGTTGTATAAAAGAAATACATGGAATTTAATCAATTTATAAATAAGTATGTAAAATAGTGTATTGTTTTTCCTTACCATAGTAACATTTATTCTAGCACAGTGCCTGGAACATAAAAGTCACTTATTAAATATTTGATGAATGAATAAATCAGTTTTGTAAAATTATAAAAGTTATTGCTTCTACCATCCCCCTCTTTCCTCCTCAACTTCTCCCTTTCTTGCACTGATATAGTTTATGGATTAGGGGGAGGTGAGGGAGAGTTTGAGCAGGAAAAGGAAAAATGAAAACTGTCCTGCCATTTTCAATGCTTCTTATTTAGGAAATAATACTATTTTTATATTTTAAAATGGGAGCTGTTACAGAGGTTAATCTTGGCATCAGGCAGTGGACTATATTCCAAAAATAGAATAAACTCGAAAGATAATTCAATATATTTGACCAGACTAATATCAATGATAATTTGAAGCAAAAGAGGAAGAATCAGCATGTTTAATCATGCAGCCAATAAAGGGGGAAGCAGTGCCTTTATACAAATAGAATATGACTTGAAGAAAATACACACACACACACACACACACATACCAGTTCAAGGTTATTTGATAAATTTGAATGTATTTGTCTAATTATATATTTAGGGAAAAATGAATCTATGTGTTTTACTTGAAACCATACAAAAATCATTTGTGAATTCAGAAAAAAAGTAAAAACTCTGTGAATACATATTTTTTAGTTGGGAGGAAAGGAGGCTGATGAACGCAAATCACTTTGGCTCCTAGAGTCAGACAACCTGTGTTCCAAACATGTCTTCATCATTTATTCACCATGTGACATTGCTCAGCCTCCCTTGAAGAGTTGCTCTGAAAATTGAAGTTAATATGTAACAACACTAAACTCAGCCTTGTCCATACTGTAGGAACTGTGTAATTGAAAACTTTTCTTCCAAGAAATTTAATTTTATTGTAGATTTATTTATGTGTGTGTGTGTGTGTGTGTGTGTGTGAGAGAGAGAGAGAGAGAGAGGGAGAGAGAGAACATGCCACCATTTGTTGCTCATTTTCTCAAAGATTTTTTCAAAGTATATAGGTCATAATTATATTATCTTTCCTAGATGAAATCTAATTGAGGCATTAAGTGCTCATCTGTCTCTGAAAGAAAATGTTGTTTCCTGGTGATTTCACTTGATATTTTAGCTGTGTAAGATGGGAAGCAGGATAAGAAAAAGAAGGATGAAGGTAAGTTAGCTGGGTGTGGTGACACATACCTGTTAGTCCCACCTACTTGGGAGGCTGAGGTGAGAGGATCACTTGAGCCCAGAAATTCGAGGCTGCAGTGAGTTATGATAGCACCACTACACCTCAGTCTGGGCAACAAAGCAATACCCTGTCTCTAAAATAAAATGAAATAAAATAGAAACCTCCATCTACTGGATGTTTTGATGGTGAGTGCAAGTTTTATGCATGCAGATGGACAGCCTACTGACAAACGTGGCCTTTGCAATATTTATTTGGAAACTAAACACTGCAGTACATAAAAATCCTGAAAAATTTATTTATTTTTTGAAAACACAAGCATTTAAAACAAACATATCTCTTGCTTCAGTGAATACTCAATAGACTAAATGTTATAATTGCTTTTAAGTGCCAAAGAAGTTGAAGAAATAAAATAAAATTACAGTGACTGCTTCCCTATGTTATAATTGCTTTTAAGTGCCAAAGAAGTTGAAGAAATAAAATAAAATTACAGTGACTGCTTCCCTCATGAAAAATCATTCTTTTAGTAATTCAGTAAACAAAGGAGCTTATATAATACTGTTCATCTGTGAAAAATGCTTTATGATGAAGATGTCTCTGTGATAAGAATTAATTAAGACCGACCATCTGGTTTTAAGAGATTTTATTTGATAGAAAAAGGAAAAAATGTATTATTGAATTATCTTAAAAGGTAAAATGTGTTAAAAATTGAAAAATAGATAATATTATTGTGATTAATTTAGGCAGACATGTTTTATGTTTAGGGAAGAAGGGAATTACCTGGCTTGATTAAAAATTAAATAAATATCTCTATCTAGATCTGTATCTATCTATATCTCTCTGTACATGTCTATCTATATATCACATGTGGCCCATAGTATCATTGTTTTAGCTTTGAATTTAGACTTTTAAATGAAATATTTAGGCCTTTGAAAAGTTTCCTCTTAGAATTAATTTTGTATACCTCTCCTTCCCCAATCCCATATAAAAGTAAGTTTATAGAGCTTTCTGCCTGTTCTATGATTTTTATTGCATCTTTCTTTAACTCTACTGGAAATTTCACAGAAAAATCCTAATTGTTGAACAACCTCTATGGTCATGAAATTCTTCTGTCTCCTTAAGTTTAAACCTTCATAAAACAGCTGCATAATTCTACTCCTAGTAGTAAAGATAAATATATTTTTCAGAGTAAAGGTGATGTTGGCCTTCTATTTCATATATGTTATACCTGAATACATTTCTGGAGTGTGTTTATTGATCTAATCAGGTAAGAACGAGGCAGTTAGCTCCCAAAGCCCATAGTTTTTCCAATCCACCAAAAAGACCTTAATTCGAATCTCTGTGTAATTTACTAGTCAGGTGGTCTGGGACAATTTCACAGGATAGTTACAAAATGAGTTCTCCTGTTATTTCTCCTGATAATCTTGCTAGCTGTTTTTAAAATGTTTAGCATGGGTCTAGCAAAGAGCAGGTGCTCAATCAGTGTTAGCCCTACAGTAGCAACAGGTTTTTAGAAAAGGCTTCTGGCCGCACACAGTGCCTCACGCCTGTAATCACAGCACTTTGGGAGGCCAAGACGGCAAGAGCACTTGCTCTTTGCTGGACCCATGCTAAACATTTTAAAAACATCTAGCGAGATTATCAGGAGAAATAACAAGAGAACTCATTTTTTAACTACCCTGTGAAATTGTCCCAGACCACCTGACTAGAAAATGACATAAAGATTTAAATTAAGGTCTTTTTGGTGGATTTATACGATTAGTTTCTCTGGTTCTCAGGCCTTTGGTCTTGGACTGAATTACACCACTGGGCTTTCTGGGTCTCCAGCTTGCAGATGACAGATCTTGGGACTGCTTGGCCTTCATAATCGTAAGAACATATTATTCATAATAAATCTGTCTCTTTCTCTCTCTGCCTCTCTCTCTCTCTCTGTGTGTGTGTGTACACAGTCGTATGCAGCACATGTTTCAGTCAATGACAGACAGACAGCAAATACCATGGTGGTCCCAAAAGATTATAATAGAACTGAAAAATTCCTAGCACCTATTGATGTCATAGCCATCATAACATCATAGCAACACATTACTCACGTGTTTGTTGGATGCTGGTGTAAAAAAAACCTACTGTGCTGCTACTTGTATAAAAGTATAGCACATGAAATTACATATAGTACATAATACCCGGTAGTAACTATAAAAACCATGTTATTGGTTTATGTATTTACTATACTATACTTCTTATTATTCTTTTAGAGTATATTCCCTCTGCATATGAAAAAATGGTTAACTGTAAAACAGCCTTAGGCAGGTCCTTCACGAGGTACTCCAGAAGAAGGCATTGCTCTCATAGGAGATGACAGCACCATTCATGTTATTGCCTCTGAAGACCTACCAGTGGGACAAGATGTGGAGATGATATTGATGATCCCAACACTTTGTAGGCCTAATATGTGTGTTTGTGTCTTAGCTTTTAACAAAAAAGTTTAGAAAGTAAAACAAAACAATATTTTTTAAAAACCCAACATAACAAAAGGCTTATAGAATAAAGACATAAAAAATAAAATATTTTTGTGCAGCTGTACAACATATCTGTACTGTAAGTTGAGAGTTACTGCAAAAGAGTCAAAAAGTTTTTAAAAATTGAAAGTTTATAAAGTGAAAAATTACAATAATTTGTAGGTTTTTGACTTTCAATAATAGAAGGCAATTATTGAAGAAATAATTTAAAAAATAAATTTAGTGTAGCTACTTTACTTTTACTGTACCTTTTGTCTTTACTAGTTTAGACACACAGGTATTTACAATTGTGTTACAATTGCCTACAGTATTCAGTACAGTAATATGTTGTAGAGGTTTATAGCCTAGGAACAAAAAGCTATACCACATAGCTTGTATATATAGGATGCTATACCATCTAGGTTTGTGTAAGTGCATGCTATGATGTTCATACAATGAAATAACCTAATGACTCTTCTCAGAATGTATCTCCTTCATTAAAAAACACATTACTATACTGGTCCTGTTTCTCTGGAGAAACCTGACTAATAAAATACCTATTTCCACAACATCTAATTGAGGTTTTTGAGCTAAATGAGATAAGGTGGCTTTCCTAGAGATGTGATTCTCTATTTGTGTTCCAGACAATGATTACTCAGAAACTTCTAACAGTTCTTAATGTCATTAATAGAACATATAATTTCCTGGAAAGATGTGTTCTGTGAATCTAGGTTTTTTTCTTTCTACTATAGAACTTTCCTTTTAACAATATTGATCTGGCGAATGTTCTACTGAATCAGAAGAAGATGAGATTTCTGGTATTGTGCCCAACATACAAATATCCCATGTACAATAGACAAGTAAATATTCATTGAAAGTATTTGAGGTGTGAGTGCCTGAGGCGAAATCTTACAAACAAAACTGCATTGAAAAAATATCATCATTGCATCCGGCAGAAACCAGTCAGGAAACAGAGACTATACATTTATTTTAACATAAAAGATTTTATATAAAATAAACTATTGTTAGCTAGGTATTGACAAACTGAAAAGGAAGAAGATAACACTAAAATATTAAAGAGGGAACAAACTCAGGAAGCAGATACCATCCCTGGGATTGGGAGAACCCAGAGAAGAATTATTGAAACATAGAAGCTTGAAAGTGGAGCCCTGTACAACTGAGATTCAAGCCTCCAGGAGGCAGGACTGGACAGAAGGTGCTGGTATGTTTCTGAGCTCAGAGAAAGGCCCATGTGTTTGGGACCCAGGTGGATGCCAATCAGATAATTCTGCTGTCTCTTAAGGGAGTGAAAGGGAAGTGATGGGGTTGATTCTGCAGGTGATGGAAAATCTACAGACTGAAACCTTGCTGTGTTCACACTGAGAGGAAGATAAAGCAAAAAGAAAAAAAGGAAAAAAAGAAAGAAACATAATCTTTTTTTCCTCCTTGTATTAGTCTGTTCTCATGCTGCTATGAAGAAATACTCGAGACTGGGTAATTTATAAAGAAAAGAGGTTTGATTGACTCACAGTTCTGGAGGGCTGAAGAGGCCTCACAAAACTTACAGTCATGGTGGGAGGGAAAGCAAACATGTCTTTCTTCACATGGTGGCAGGAAGGAGAAGAATGAGAGCCAAGTGAAGGGGGAAGCTCCTTATAAAACCATCAGATCTCATTAGAACTTACTCATTATCATAAGAATAGCATGTGGGAAACTGCCCCATGATTCAATTGTCTCCCACCAGGTCCCTCCTATGACTTGTGAGGATTATGGGAACTACAAGTCAAGATGAGATTTGGGTAGGGACACAGCCAAACCATATTATTCTGCCCCTGGCCCCTCCTAAAGCTCACTTCCTGACATTTCAAAACACAATTATGCCTTTCCAACAGTCCCCCAAAGTCTTAGCTCATACCACCATTAACCCAAAAGTTGAAGTCCAAAGTCTCATCTGAGACAAGGCAAGTCCCTTCTGCCTATGAGCCTGTAAAATCAAAAGCAAAAGCAAATTAGTTACTTCCTAAATACAATTCAGGTACAGGCATCAAATGAGAGAAATTGGCCAAACAAAGGGGCTACAGGCCTTGTGCAAGTCCAAAATCCAGTGAGGCAGTAATTAAATCTTAAAGCTCCTACATAATCTCCTTTAACTCTATGTCTCACATCCAGGACATGCTGATGCAAGAAGTGGGCTCCCACGGCTTTGTGCAGCTCTGCTCTTGTGGCTTTGCAGGGTAAAGCCCAACTCCAGACTGCTTTCTCAGGTTGGTGTTGAGTGCCTATAGCTTTTCGAGGCACATGGGGTGCAAGCTGTTGGTGGATCTACCATTCTTAGGTCTGGAGAACCATGGCCCTCTTCTCACAGCTCCACTAGGCAGTGCCCCAGTGGGGACTCTGTGTGGGGGCTTCAGCCCCATATTTCCCTTCCACACTGCCCTACTAGAGGTTCTCTATGAGAGTTTTGCTCCTGCAGCTAACTTCTTCCTGAACATCCAGAAGTTTCCATATATCCCCTGAAATCTGGGCAGAGGTTCCCAAACCTCAATTCTTGACTTCTGTGCACATGCAGGCTCAACACAATGTGGAAGCTGCCAAGGCTTGGAGCTTGCACCCTCTGAAGCCTAAGCTGTACCTTGGCCCCTTTCAGCCACAGTTGCACCAGATGGGACTCAGGGCAACAAGTCCTGAGGCTGCACACAGCAGGGGGGCTCACAAAACCATTTTTTCCTCCTAGGCCTCCAGGCAGAGGTCTCTGACATGTTCTAGAGACATTTTCCCCATTGTCTTTGTGATTAACGTTCAGCCCCTCATTGGTTATGCAAATTTCTGCAGCGGGCTTGAATTTCTCCGTAGAAAATGGGTTTTTCTTTTCTTTTCTATCATATCATCAGGCTGCAAATTTTCCAAACTTTTATGGTCTGTTTCCTCTTGAATGCTTTGCTGCTTAGAAATTTCTTCTGCCACATACCCTAAATCATTTCTCTTAAGTTCAAATTTCCACAGATCTCTAGGGCAGGAGCAAAATGCCACCAGTCTCTTTGCTAAAGCATAACAAGAGTCACCTTTGCTCCAGTTCCCAACAAGTTGCTCATCTCCATTTGAGACCGCCTCAGTCTGGACTTCATTTTGCATATCACTATCAGCATTTTTTTTCAAAGCTGTTCAACAAGTCTCTAGGAAGTTCCAAACTTTCCCACATTTTCCTGTCTTTTTCTGAGCTCTTCAAACTGTTCCAACATCTGCCTATTACCCAGTACGAAAGTTGCTTCTAGGTTTTGGGGTATCCTTATAGCAGCACCCCACTCTACTGGTACCAATATACTGTACTAGTCTGTTCTCATGCCGCTATGAAGAAATACCTGAGACTAGGTAGTTTATAAAGGAAAGAGGTTTAATTGATTCACAGTTCTTCATGGGTGGGGAGGCCTCAGAAAACTTACGATCATGGCAGGAGGGGAAGCAAACACATTCTTCTTCACCTGGCAGCAGGAAGGAGAAGAATGAGAGCCACGCAAAGGAGGAAGCCCCTTATAAAACCATCATATAGTTCTCACATTGTCTGAGAACTTACTCCTATCCTGAGAATAACATGGGGAAAACTGCCCCCATGATTTAATTACCTCTCAATGGGTCCCTCCCGCCACACAGGGGTATTATGGGAACTAAAATTCAAGATGGGATTTGGGTGGGGACACAGCCAAACCATCTCACTTCTCCTCTTTCAGCTTTTTTGCCTTTCCCCAGTGACTTTGAGGGGCAGAGCCTAACAAGTACCCAGTGTTCTTTGGATCTGAAAGAGTATGGCTTAATGTCCGACAGAATCATCATTACCAATACAATTTTATTTTAAGAGCAATTACTGTGTTCCTCTAGTAGACATTCAGAGATAAAATAGTAAGTAAACAGAAAAAATGAAGTTAAATAAAATGTAAAAGCTAAAAAGAGAGTGGCAGTAAGGGTTGATGAAAGAATGGAGTATGTTTAAAAAAAAACAAAAAAAAAAACCAAAAATAACAGAATTTGTATAAAAGAGACCAAATAGCATATACTTTCTACTGTATCTCCCTAGAATAGCATCCTGCTTTTCTCAACTAGTTCTCCTTGCTTTTTGTTATTAATAGGGTTTGAGGGTCAGGAGTGAAAGTGGATGCTGTCCTTTTCATACATGTTATAAATAACTCTGAATAAAAATCTAGACCCAGCTCAGCCAATCACAATAATTTACTCCCATAGCCATAGCCCCAGTTGATGGGTAAATCAGTACTCTTTTATTTATTATTGTTGTTATTATTAATAGTATTTTTATTTGGGATTCAGTTTATTTCTGTTGATGAAGAAGGTGTGAAGATAGGTGCTGCCAACAGTCACATTTTCACCCACGCAGAGGAGGCGAAATAGAGAATGAATTCGCCCCGAGTAAAACATAGCTGGAAAAGGAGGAAGCAATTTGGTGGCATAAGTCCTGTCTTCCAGGGCCCATGACACTATGCTGTTCCCCTCCAATCTCTGTGATTTAGTGACTTTAACCAATAAATCTCACCTTCTGCGGAATCGAGTTTGACTTTGGTTTCCCGCTTGGTAGTCGAAGTCTTCACTAGTCCAGCGTATCTTCCCTGATTTAAAGCCCGATAACTTCTATTACAAGGTCTATTAAACATACTTTCCCCTTTCAACACTCTTTTATTTTTTCTAACTCACTGTGGCATACTTTTCATGGAGAGACTAAATTACTTTAAGAATAACCTTGATTTTGTTCCCATTTATAGTACAAGAAAATCCTTTGCAAATTTCAATATTTTAACTAAATTCCTATGAGTTACTTAAGACTCACATTGTATTAACAATATGCATAACAATCACACACTATTAATGCATTTCTCTTTATTGTGTTTTTTCTCCTCTGGAATGTTTTATCCTTCCTTTCCCGCCACCTGTACTCTGAAACTCTGAACTAATGTTTGAAGCATACATAGAATGTAGACATGTAAAAACCACTTCCGGCCGGTCGCAGTGGCTCACGTCTGTAATCCCAGCACTTTGGGAGGCTGAGGCAGGCAGATCACGAGGTCAGGAGTTCATGACCAGCCTGACCAACATGGAGAAACCCCGTCTGTACAAAAAATACAAAAATTAGCCTGACGTGGTGGCACGTGCCTGTAATCCCAGTTACTTGGGAGGCTGAGGCAGGAGAATCCCTTCAACCCGGGCGTTGGAGGTTGCAGTGAGCGGAGATCGCACCACTGCACTCCAGACTGGGTGACAGAGCGAGACTCTGTCTCAAAAAAAAAAAAAAAAGAACGAAAAACAAACAAAAAAAATACTTTCTCCATGCAGCCTTGCTGAAATTCTTCTCAAGGCTGGAATTTAGCAGTTTTCCAATCCTCTGATGACATTTCCTCATATGAGAAATACCTCAAAGTTTAGATAGACACTAATACACATGACTTCTCCTTCCTATGCAACTGCAAGCTCCATGAGTGTGAATATGAGTTTGAGTGATTTATGTTCATAATTAAAATAGCAGTGGCAGGTAATATATCCATACTGAATAGCTCTGTGTCCTGTTATCTATTTCTAATGTGCCTTATATATACAGACTACATTTTTGTTGTTTTGGGGTGGCTTTGTTGTCATTGTCCATGAATCTCAAACGGACAAAAATATTTTTGTAATTTGAAAGTAGAAACTATACTCTTACCGTTCTATTACTCTCTCTCTCCTCTACCACTACCCTTTTCTATCAGCTGTCCCTAGATTTTCCCAGCTGTCTCAAAACTGTTTATTATCCCTGTTTCCAGGTTGTTTGAAAGGCATTTGATAGCCTTTGAATAATTCTGAGGGGTTGCTTTTTTTTTTTTTTTTTTTTTTTGCTCTTGGACATTTTTAAACAGCTTAATTGTTAAAGTTGTTATTTTGTTATTAACTGATTAAATAATAGAATCTTCCCGGGCCGGGTGCGGTGGCTCACGCCTGTAATCCCAGCACTTTGGGAGGCCGAGGCGGGCGGATCACGAGGTCAGGAGATCGAGACCATCCTGGCTAACACGGTGAAACCCCGTCTCTACTAAAAATACAAAAAATTAGCCGGGCGTGGTAGCGGGTGCCTGTAGTCCCAGCTACTCGGGAGGCTGAGGCAGGAGAATGGCGTGAACCCGGGAGGCGGAGCTTGCAGTGAGCCGAGATCGCGCCACTGCACTCCAGCCTGGGCGACAGAGCGAGACTCCGTCTCAAAAAAAAAAAAAAAAAAAAAAGAATCTTCCCAATGATAGTGTTTTAAATTACCTATCTTCCTTATAGTGTTTTGCCTAGTTCTTAAGCTTTTTCTCCAGCAATTCAGTGGCTGCTAGCTTTCAGTATGGTTTTGACTATTCACGTCCATTCCAGAAGACACATGCATGTAGTGATTTTTCATTTTCCTGGTGTTCAAATTTGAAATGTGTGAATTATGACGCCGAAGTTCAGGGAGAGTCCCTTGGTCAGAGAGTGAACCTGGATGAGCACTTGGACTCCAACTCAACATCCATTTTTGCTGTGGCAGCATTTAATCACTAGTTCTTGCTGAAAATATTGATTAATCAGGAAATTCTTGACTTAACGTAGAAATTTTTATGTTCCATTTCTCTCTGAAAACAATTATTGGAATTTAGAACACAAGTTTCTTGTATATTGAAGGCAACAAACTTTTAAGAAGAGCTGGCTTCATATTTTAGTTCTTATGTCCTCTTGTGTCACAGTGGGAAAACTTGTGTCCCAACCTTTAAATATAAACGTTATATTTTTCTTTTCCTTTCTTTTTTTAAAGATCCTCTAGTCTTTGCTTCTTAATACTTAGCATGGTTATTAGTTGATATTTTCTAATATAGCAGCAGAGTATCAATCATTATAAAACATGTCTAACCTAGAGGTTTTTAAAAGTTTTTTTCTGAAATCGCTACACTGTCTGCTGGGAATCCTTAATCCGATTTCAACGGGTTAACATTCTTTTTAAAGTCTAACACTTCTTATAAGACATGGGGTATAGAATAAGAAAGTCAAATCAAAAACTAAAAATTAATTTATCACTTTAATATTTCATTTTTCAGATATGTTTGTTTTCACAAAAGTATTCTAATTTTTAAAATCTGAAGAAAACAGACCCTCTACTCTTTATATGTGTTTTCCACTGACTTACAAGGAACAAGGAATCTGCTCTTTCAAAGCAAAGCAGGCCCTCTAGTTGTCTATAGGGATTTTGCTGCATAAAGATTATTTATTTTTCATCCCATCATTTTGTTCCCAAATAAATTCTATTCTATGATATAGAAACTTGTGGTCTGTGCATAATCACTCTTTTGGGAAAGGGGAATCAACTCCAAAGGAGAGGTAAAGTACTCTGAAGCACAGAGAATCATGATTTGGAAGCTTACTTGTATTTTACGTTGCATCACAGTTACTCTAAATTTGAAATAGGAGCCCATAGATTGGTTTGTGCTGTTGCTAGGTACACTTTCCTAAAATGTAACACTGCTAACTCTTCCTTTGAACTGTTCTGTTACTGAGAAGAGTAACACTGTTTAAGGTAAAATGAAAGGGGACTCAAGTAATATATTGATTATGAGGTTAAGCCACCAAATATCATAACATCTGCATGTGGAATTATAGGCAAGACCTTGAAAATGGAATATTAGCATGGATCCCATCATCTTTCCCCCCCCTTTTTTTTTCCAGTGTACAAAAATTGCCTGCTGGCTAGTCTCCTTGCCTCTAGCTTCGACCTAGTTATGGGAACATTGCCTATAGGACTTCTAGCAGGTACTATCTAAAAAGTAATGCTGACCATGTCATTCTTCTGTTTTCTTTGTGGTTTATTTTTTGAGTTTTTTTTTTTTTTAATTGTAATACCATTACAGTGCTTTGTGACTTTCAGCAGGAGACAGGCTGTTCCTCAACATGGCTTACAATGTTTCTCCATTATCTTGATCCTGCTTACACATCCTGCTTTCTAGTCTCATCTCCTTGCCTTAAAAATGTAAAAGTCAGTGCTCCACAATCCTCTTGCTGATCACTTTGCCCAGAAGTTCTGTCCCCTCCTTATCTCTTATGTTACTGTTCCTTTATTAGTATCTTAACTCTTTATAAATCATTTCAGGCCTGGCTTTTTCAGAATAGCTTTCCCTGGATTCCCCAAGATGGACTGAGTATCTATCATCAATGGTCGACATAATTTAGAAACTTTAAGACCTAAATGCAATATATTTGTCTGTTTTTTCCCTCCCCTCTGGAGTATGTACTTCTTGAAGAAAGGGATTGTTTTACATTTAAGTTTGTTTCTCTGCATCCAGCCTAATGCTTATCCCACAATAGCTATTTAGTAAATGTTTGCTTAAAGTTTGTGTAAGGTGGACAGGTGCTGTGTCTCACCCCTGTAATCCCAGCACTTTGGGTGGCTAAGGTGGGCAGATCACTTGAGTTCAGGAGTTCAAGACTAGCCTGGTGAACATGGTGAAACCTCGTCTCTACTAAAAATACAAAAAAAAAAAAAATTAGCTGGGCATAGTGGCAGGAAACTGTAATCCCAGCTACTCAGGAGTCTGAAGCAGAAGAATCACTTGAACCCAGGAGGTGGAGGTTGCAGTGAGCCAAGATTGCACCATTGCACTCCAGCCTGGGCAACAGAGTGAGACTCCACCCCAAAAAAAGAAAAAAAAATTATGTAAGGTAGGAAAATGATTGAGACTCAAAAATCTGCTTTTAAGTCCCATGCATGGTATTTTCTCCTTTATTCATTTATTTTTTTGACACAGGGTCTTATATTATCACCCAGGTTGGCATGCAGAGGCACGAACATGGCTGGACCTTCAAGGCTCAAGTGATCCTCCTGCCTCAGCCTCCCAAGTAGCTGGAACTACAGGAATGCACCCCCACACTCCGTTAATTTTTTGTTTTTGTAGAGATGGGATTTTGCTATGTTGCCAAGGCTGGTCTTGAACTCCTGAGCTCAAGCAATCTGCCTGCCTTGTCCTACCAAAGTGCTGGGATTACAGGCGTGAGCCACCATGTCTGGCCCCACAGTATTCTCAGTTGGCTTATGGGCATAGCCATCTAATGAGGCTCCACATTACTCTCCACTTGTCTGCAACTCTTTTTAGGTATCACTGCAGTGGAGTCTTCTGAAATCACAGGAAAAATGGTGTTAAGTACTCATAGGGCATCTCTTTGTTGGGCTGGAAATGTAGATGATTGGGTTCAAGTATTCTAACTGAAATAAAAGGATAAAGCACTGATTCCTTACTTGTCTTTCAAGATATCCCATATTTTCTCATCTTTTCCGAACCCATCTCCCACTCTTCAACTTATATGTTTTCGTCTGGATTTTTACGTGATCTGCAATCTCTCTCTACATCTTTGTTTCTGTGCTTATTCTTGTCTGCATTCCAGCCATGTCTTACTCTCTAATTTTTAAGGTCTTGTTTAATGTCTCATTATCATTGAAACCTTCCCTTATTTATTTCCCCAGCAAAATTGGAGTCTTTTTCCTTTTCAACTCAAATTGTGCTCTGTGCATAGTTGATAACATATTTTTAACATAATTAAAATTATGCATTTGTTTCTCCTATTCTAAATTGGAACATAGCTAGAGGAAGGGACCTATCTGAAGTAGTACAGTGAAATACTAAAAGCACATCCTTTGGAATCAAATTTAAATAGCAAAAGTGACTTTAAATTGTTTTGCATTTAACTACTTTCTTTTTTTGTTATTATTTTTTGAGTCTCAAGTTTTCTCTGCTAAAGTTGATATGATGGAACACTTTTCAGAATAAAAGCTCTAAATGAAGGCATCAATATTTGTGTAGCTAGAAAAATGAGATTTCATTTGACAACACAGAAAAGCCTACACTGAGAGCATGTCTGGTGATGCACAGGTAAAGAAAGCAACTGCCCTGGTTTGGCTTGGGAGTTTCCAGCATTTAATACTGAAAGGTCCACTTCCTAGGAACCTCCTCAGTTCCAGGCAAACTGTGATGGTTGGTCACCCTAGAGCTAGCCGGTATAGACATTCTTATAGATCTTTGAGAGACATAAACATAAGATTTTACGATTTATCAGATTATGAATAACAGAAGGATTAACTAGGGAAAGATTGAGATCAGAACAATCAAGTAGAAAAGTGCAGCCCTTTTTTGTGCTGCAAACCCAGCACAAATACTGGGTTTATGCAAACCCAGCCCTAAATACTGAAGCCATTCTGCTGGTAGAATGATGAATAGGTAGGACTTCAAAGGAATAATAAGCAGAATTTGGTGACTCACTAGATAAAAGAATTGAAGAGGAGGAATTACAACCTCAACAAATTAAATTAAGAATATTGCCAAGAAACAGACTGTGGATCATCATGGCGGATGGGAGGCAGGACTAGATTGCAGCTCCAGACAGAGCAGTGTGCGGAGGCTTGCATTGTGAATTTTAGCTCCAGATCAACTGCAAGAACAAACCAGCAATCCTGAATAGACCCACGGACCCTCTGAAGGAAGCGGACTGCTCCCGCAGGACCTGGGAGACACCCACGTGAGCGTGCAATGGCAAGAACATGGCTGTGAGTGCCCCAACTGCGGAAGTGGGAAAGGGAGACCCTTCTCTCCCGAACATACACCCTCACTGGAGAAGCTGAAGGTCTGTTTGCAGGAGAAGTTTCCGACTTTACCTGGAGCTGAGTCAATTTAGAGAGCTGAGGGAATTACACGAGTAGAGGAAGCAGCAGAAAGGCCCTGGGAGCTCACTGGGTCCCCAAGCAGGCCATTCCTTCCTGGCACCACAGGAATCCATCAGGAGGGCGGCCAGAGGAGCAGGGGGTAAAACTCCACAGGGAGAAGGAAATTGCCAGCTGAACTTTGTAACATTTTGAATGGGGCAAGAAGCCTCATGGGCAGTACTTGGGGGCGGGCACAAATCCAATGTGCAGACTCCACGGGTTGGAGAAGAAACAAGCCCCTTTCTTTCGCCACTGGGAAGCAGGGAGCCTGGGGCAAGCTTTCAAGCCTGTCTCACCCGCCTCCTGGAAACAGACTCCAGGCTGTTGGGGGCGGGGGCATGATGGGAGTGAGACCAGCCCTTCTGTTTGCATGGGAGCTGGGTGAGTCCTGTGACTGCTGGCTTTCCCCCACTTCCCTGATAAACCGGCGTGACTCAGCAGAGGCAGCCATAATCCTCGTAGGTACACAACTCCATTGACCTCGGATTCTCACTCCCATCCCCCACAGCAGCTGCAGCAAGACCCGCCCAAGGAGAGCCTGAGCTCAGGCACACCTAGCCCAACCCCAACGTGATGGTCTTTCCCTTCCCACCCTGGTAGCAAAAGACAAAGGGCATATAATCTTGGGAGTTCTAGGGCCCCGCCCACTGCTGGTCCCTCTCCATACTACTATAGCTGATGCTTTCTGGAAAGTGCCACCTCCCAGCAGGAGGCCAACCAGCACAAAAATAGAGCATTAAACCACCAAAGCTAAGAACCCTCACTGAGTCCATTGCACAGTGCCCCGTCACTTCTATCAGAACAGGTGCTGGTATCCAAGGCTGAGAGACCCATAGACGGTTCACATCACAGGACTCTGTGCAGACAACCCCCAGTACCAGCCCAGAGCCAGGTAGACTCCCTGGGTGGCTAGACCCAGAAGAGAGACAACAATCACTGCAGTTCGGCTCACAGGAAGCCACATCCTTAGGAAGAGGGAGAGAGTACTACATCAAGGGAATACCCCGTGGGAGAAAAAAATCTGAACAACAACCTTCAGCCCTAGAGCTTCCCTCTGACAGAGCCTACTCAAATGAAAAAGAACCAGAAAACCAACCGTGGTAATATGACAAAACAAGGCTCTTCAGCACCACTCAAAAATTATGCTAGTTCACCAGCAATGGATACAGAATTCAGGAGATTAGTTTTTAAGCTAATTAGGGAGGCACCAGAGAAAGGAGAAGCCCAATGCAAGGAAATCCAAAAAACAATACAAGAAGTGAAGGGAGACATATTCAAGGAAATAAAGAGTTTAAAGAAAAAACAACCAAAAATTCAGGAAACTTTGGACACACTTTTGGAAATGCCAAATGCTCTGGAAAGTTGCAGCAATAGAATTGAACAGATAGAAGAAATAAATTCAGAGCTTGAAGACAAGGTATGCAAATTAACCCAATGCAACAAAGACAAAGAAAAAGGAATAAGAAAATAAGAATGAAGCCTCCAAGAAGTCTGGGATTATGTTAAATGACTAAACCTAAGAATAATGGATGTTCCTGAGGAAGAAGAGAATTCTAAAAGCTTGGAAAAAATATTTGGGGGAATAAAGAAGAAAAACTTCCCTGGCCTAGCTAGAGACCTAGACATCCAAGTACAAGAACTGCCAATACCACCCATACCCCAATAATTTATGGAAAAAAATTTGCCAAGAAACAAGACAGAATTATCATCAGACTCATTTCTTGCTGAAGATGATCAGCTAAATATTCCCAGAATATTGAGACAATGAATATTATTGAACAGGAAATTGTGGAAAAACAAAATTTTTAAAAGAGTAATTGAAATTGGAGTGTCAGATTTTATTTTCAAGTAAATCAGACTGTACAACATTTTACACTTAGAGTGGAGAACATGTATGAATATGTCTGAAGAATATGTCAGTATGGAACATAGGAAACTAGCAAGGAAGCAGGTTGGGTTAGAGAGACTGTGCTCCAAAGTCTGCCTTTCAATTTTCATAATAAGTGATAACAATAATAAAAATAGTAAACATTCATTAAAACAGTCATAAACATGTCAGTCAATGTGCTAAACACAAAAGTTATCTTACACGTCAAACATATTTAGACATTAAGATCTATAATACTTGACAAAATACTTGGATTATTTCTATTTGAGGAGGGAGGAAACAGACAAAAGAGACAGAGGTTTGCTAGGAGGAAAATGAGATGGTCAAGAATACTATGCTTCAAAGTGGGCACATCTTCCCTCAACCATCATAGAATCAAAGACATGAGGCAGCCAGCAAGAGGACTTGACAGTAAAAGGGGGAAGCCATGCCAGAGACAGATTTGATATGACGTCACATATTAAATTATGAAGTGACTCTGAAGAAACACGTTTATCAGCAATGTTGTCTGTCAACAACTTAATGGGTAAAATAATCATTTCTGAATATTGAATTGGATTTCAAAATATAATACTTAAGATAATATCTCAAAGAGTTTTGTTCTTGTACATTAATTTTGGGATTACATTTGAAATCTTCTTCCTCAAATTTCACATTACAGATCAGAAAATGAAAGAATTATATTCGATAAAAAACACTTTTATAGTTAAATGTTAAATGCAGTTTGACTTTCCATCAAGATGCTATAACCTTTTTGAGAAAAACTATATGGAGTGGGGCTGAAATAATACTATTGAAATGTAACTATGGAAACAAAGCTGTTTTCCATGAAGTAAGTGCACTTTAGGTGTGTGGTGGAGAACTAAGAGAGTACATGATATTTAGGAATATCATGTCTTGATATTTAGGAATATCATGTCTTGAGAAAATTAACAAGATATAGCCCATTTATAGGACATTTTCTTTTTATTTAAGCATAGGAGAACCACTTGTCAATATTGTTCTTAAATCACTTCCAATATCTGGCATTAGGAATATTCAATAAATATTTCTATTATTTATGTGGAACTTTTTCATCCTATACAATGCAACTAAGGCTGAGAAGTTTTTACAGACAACCTGTAAACAATTAGGCAATTTAAGTCTTGAGAATAATCTTCTTAAAAACCACTTTAATTTGCTTATTCTATGAATGAGGAGACTAAACTTAAACTAACAGGGCACTTTCCAATTAAAAGGAAATCATTTTAACATATATTTAGATATAAATATCTATTAAGTTTCAGACATTGGATGTATAGCAGGGAACAGCATAAATGTATCAGTGGCCCTCATGGTCCTTACAGTCTGTATTGCTCAACTATGGCCACAAAAATGCTGCATATCATACAACCATCAAATCTCAGAATCACAACAGTATCTATACAGCACAAAAATATGGGGATTTGCTGGAAGTTGGCTGACCTAAGAGAGGTCCAGCTAAGTGGCACTGCTGATCTTTGATTGGCCCTCTCACACATCTCAACTGACCACTCATCAAGTTTGCTAGTTCTTTCTTCTGCCTGCTTAAAATCTACATTTGACTCCTCTGGTGGATTTTTCATTTCAGTTATTGCAGTTTTTAACTCCATAATTTCTATTGGGTTCCTTTTTAATAACTTCTCTCTTTATTGATATTTTCTATTAGATGAGACATTGTTTGTATACTTTCTTTTATTTCTGTAGGTATGACTTCCTTTAATGCTCTGAATGTATTTAAAATAGCTGACTTAAAATCAGAAAGATTTAAGTCCAACATCTGGGCTTCCTGAGGGACTATTTCTGTTAACTGCTTCTTTGCCTGTGCATGAGTTTTACTTTCTTAATTTTTTCATGTCTTGCAATTTTCTGTTGAAAATTGGATATTTTAAACAATATAATTTAACAAATATAAAAATCAGATTTTGACACTTACTCAGAATTTGCTCTTGTTGTTGTTGCTTGTTGTGTTATGACTTGCCTGAAGTCATAAGTCATAACTTGTGTGTGTGTGTGTGTGTGTGTGTGTGTGTGTGTGTGTGTCTAATGCAGTTGTTGTCAGTTCAATTTGTGGTCAACTAATAGGCAGGGATTTCCTCAAATGCTTGAAACCAATAAGTTTCAAATCTTTGCTAAGAGGTTTGGTGTGCATTTTGAGGCCTGCCTTCAACATTCAACTGGGTAGTTTACAAATTCACCTTAATTTTCATTTCTTGCTCATGCTGAGTCTCAAGATGAACCATAGGTGAGAAGTTATAGCCTTCTCAGGTGTTTCCTGAGAATGCACATTCTTGCACATGCACACAGTCTTCTAGATTTTCAGGAATCTGTCAGGGCTTTGCAAAGCTCCCTATGAACATCTCATTCAATTGCTTCTCCCAGCTGACATAAGCCACCTTAGTCAGCCATTAAATTAAACAGTTGCCTCTGATGGTTTGAAACAAATGCTCCCAGGGGAGAATGCTGTTTGTCCTGAGAAATCTCAAGGAAAGACAGCATTATGAATAGGGTCATCTAAGGAACCATCAGACAAGACAAATAATGATAATTCCCTGGGAATGGGACCTTGAAAGAGCTGCATCCCATTCTTCCCTCTCCAGTGGCTTTCAAGTTACTGGTTTTCCTGTGATTATGGGCAGTTAGTTTCCAAGGTTACCATGAAGCAGGAACTGGGGGGGTCATAAAAATAAGGTGAGCTAAATGTCATAAGGATTGCTGTTCCCATCAAGATTTAGCCATTTTTCTGGAACACATGCTTTCCAGAATGTTGCAACCTTTAATTTATAGGGCACTGAACATGTTGATAATGATAATTTCTTGCAGTATTCCTGCTGCTTTTGTGGAAAAGAGCAGAGAAGTTTTGGAGGTCCTCCATTCACCATTTTTGCTGACATTGTGTCTCACATATCTAGATGTTACCTGATTTAGGCTCTTCTCTACTTGTCATTTATCTTTCATCTGTGACTACTGGGCTTGTCTAAACATGTTCATCTCAGAGTGCTGGCAGAGACAAGAGGAAACATGAAAGCGTTTTTACAGCCTAGGGTCAGAATTGACACAATGTTAGGTATCAACAATTCACATTGCAAAGAGGGTAAATACAGAGATGTGTGATGGTTGGAGTTTCTACTGTCACAAAAATCTCATGGGTGAGACAAATGTTAAATAAGTAGCTCACTTGAGATGAGTGTTATGAACAAGAGATTATAGGGGGTGACGAGGGTTAGCTGGTTGGATGATCACTTGTACAGGCATATAGACTGAGCAAACCAGGAAATAGATATGATTAAATAGAACCGACTTAGGTTTGAAAGAAAGCGTTGTACTGTATTGATTTTAGGGTGAGCATGAGCAATATCATTTTAAGTTTGGAAAACCAAGATTCGCGAACATTTTTCAGGTTTACTTAATTTATTCTCTAACCTCAGCGACTGTCTAAATTTTCTCTCAACATACACAAGTGATATTCTGATACTTAGGAGGAATGGTATAATGAGAAAGAAAAAAACACTGCAAGTAAAGGGATCAAACCTCAAATCAAACATTTCACTGATGTCTCACCTTGGACAAGATTTTCACTTCTGGTGAATTTTATTTCCTCAGCCGTAAAGTGGAGGTGGTTATACAGGGTTATTGTGAAGCTCAAGTAATTTACTGTATGGGTAAGAGCTTTATAAAGCATTAGAGCATTATGCAAATACAAGAGACTCTTACTATGCTATAAACACAAGCGTGATATTGTCCTGCTGGCTTTATTGGCCAAGAAATGCTGTGTCTTGACTACGCATAAAGAAAAATAGGGAAAGATTTTACTAACAGCTTTTACCACCATCACCACCAAGTTCAGAATTGTACTGTGGACAGATTGCTACAATCTCATAAAGAGTTATAAAATTGCAGAGACGTAAGAGTGGTCCTTTTGGATGTAGTAATTCTCCCAGGTATGCTGACAATGCATGTAATACAAAAGGTTATAGTAATTTACTTCTGTACTACGGCATAACTTGGGTAGAATAGCTTTGACTTAACATCAAAACTATTACATTATTATCATTTTATAGCCTTTAAATAATAATGACTAATAAATATTAAAATACTGTATCATTATTATTTATAAATATTATATTTACAATATATAAATACCATTTATTATACCTGCACTTTTACTTTATAGTTTTGTACTACTAAAATTTATATAATACTATAATTACTGTTTATATTTAGTTTTCTAAATTACTGTAATAATAACAATGAATTATTATTACCACTTATTAAATATTATATGTGTCAGGTCCCTTATTAGACAAAGGTAATCCTTTTAATTACTCAACTGGGTATGAATTATCATTCTAAATTTATAGATTTTTAAATATAGAGACTTAAGAAGTTTAACGAGCACCTATAGTAAATGGCCAGGATGAAACTTAAACAAGATTGTCTGATTACTAAGTCTGGGCTCTTGAAACACCAGGACACATCTTTTTGTTCTCTGGTTAAAAGAATTTAAACCAAATCTCCTTGAAGTAATATATTTATTTTAACATAATATTATTTTCGATGTCTAACATTTGAAGCCTATTCCTATAACTTAAGGGACACTTTGACATATAGCTCTGAAGAAATACTGACATGGTAAAATGAAATCAAATAGAAATAAATTGGAATATTCCTGATTATGTTTTCACTAAAGCTCTCTATTAGTTGGTAAAGAAATTCTTAAAGGATCTCTGACCCTGCTCAGTGTTCATAAAGCACAGAAAAAAGACCACTTACCTTCCCTGAGACATACAGCTAAAGCATGTAGCCCCATTTCTCTGTAAGCCTGGGTCAAACTTTTAATATTTTAATATATCATATGCATTAGAGAGTGCCACATTTAGTGATTAGTCAAAGTTTACCTTAGAGAGGACAATGAAATCTGAGCAATGGAAACAAATTTATATACTGATATTTTTTATTTCAAAGAGATGAGTTTAGGCAAATAGTATATTTTCTCAGTTCCTTTTTAATGAGTGAACACACACACATGCACACACACACACACACACACACACACACACACACACAATCTATCTGCATAACATATTTGGAGCAAAACAACCTTTTGATAGCTCTTTTGGACTTAGGATTCTTCCCTGACTTTTAAAAAATTTTGGTAAAAAACGTGACATAAAATTTACCATCTCAACCATTTTTAAGTATACTGTTCAGTAGGGTTATGTACATTTACATTGTTGCCAGAACTTTTTCATGTTGTAAAATTGAAATTCTGTACCCATTAGACAATCACCTCCCACCTCCTCTCTAGCCCCCGATAACCACCATCTGATTTTCTGTTTCTATGAATTTGGCTACCTTAGATAGCTCATATAAGTGGAATTATATAGTATTGTCTTTTTGTGACTGGCTTATTTCACATAGCACAATGTCCTTAAGGTTCATCCATGTTGTAGTATGTGACAGGATTTCCTTCCTTTTTAAAGCTGAATAACATTTCATTTTGTTTATCCATTCGTCTGTCAATAGACATATGGGTTACTTCCACCTCTTAGATATTGTGACCAATGCTGCTATGAACATGGGTGGGCAAATAACTCTTTGAGATCCCACTTTATGTTCTTTTGCATATACACCAAGAAGTGGGATTACTGGATCATATGATAGTTCTATTTTGAATTTTTTTTGGAATTAACTTACTGTTTTCCATCATGGTTACACCATTGCACAGTCATGCCAACAGTGCCACAAAGGGTATGATTTCTTTACGTCCTCCTCAACACTTGTTATTTTGCATTACTTTTTATGGTAGCCATTCTAATGGTGTATGGTTATATCTAATTGTGGTTTTGATTTGCATTTTCATGATGATTAGTGATGGTGATCATCTTTTCATGTGCTTGCAGGTCATTTGTATATCTTCATGTGAGATATGTCTACTGAAGTCCTTTGCCCCCTTTTTAATTGGGTTATTTGGGGTTTCTTTTGGTTGAGTCATAAAAGTTCTTTTTGTATTCTGAATATTAGTTGCTCCCTAGATATATGATTTCCAAATATTTTCTCCTGTTCCATAGATTATGTATTCACTCCGATGATTTTATCTGTTGATATAGGTATTAGTCCGTTCTCACACTACTACAAAGAACTGCCTAAGACTAAATAATTGATAAAGAAAAGAGGTTAGATTCAGTTTCCTTATGGCTTGGGAAGCCTCAGGAAACTTATAATCATGGTGGATGGTGAAGGAGAAGCAAGGCACCTTCTTCACAAGATGGCAGGAAGGAGAAGTGCTGAGCAAAGGGGGAAGAGCACCTTATAAAACCATTAGATCTTGTGAGAACTCACTCAACACCATGGGGGAACCCGTCCCCCATAATTCAGTTACCTCCATTTGGTCTCTCCCTTGACAGGTGGGGATTGCGAGGCTTACAGGGATTACAATTCAAGATGAGATCTGGGTAGGGACACAAAGCCTAACCATATCAACATACAAAAGCTTTTTAAATTTGATATAGTCCGATTTGTCTAATTTTTGTTGTTGCCTGAGCTTTGGGTGTCATATTCAAGAAATCATCACCAGTTCCAATGTCATGAAGTTTTTTTCCCTGTTTTTTTTCTAGCAGTTTTATGTCTTACATTTGAGTCTTTTTATTTAATTTTTTTTTTGGGGGGTCAGAGTCGTCTCGCTCTATCACCGAGGCTGCAGTGCAGTGGTGTGATCTTGGCTCTCTGCAACCTCCACCTCCCAGGTTCAAGTGATTTTCCTGCTTCAGTCTCCCAAGTAGCTGGGATTACAGGTGCCCACCACCTTGCCTGGCTAATTTTTGCATTTTTTAGTAGAGACAGGGTTTCACCATGTGGGACCAGGCTGACATTTGAGTCTTTAATCCACTTTTAGTCGACTTTTGTGTATGCTGTAAGATAAGGATTCAACCTCATCTTTTTTAATTCAGATATTTCAGTTTTCCCAGCACAATTTTTTAAAGAGATTGTTTTCCTTCACTGAATGCTCTTAGTACTCTTGTTGAAGATCATTTGACCATATACTTAAGAGTTTATTTCTGGAATCTTTATTCTATTCCATTGGTCTATCTGTCTGTCTGTATGCCAGCTTTGATTACTGTTTTGATTATTGTAGCTTTGTAATATGTTTAGAAATCAGGAAGTGTAAGACCTCCAACTTTGTTTTTTCATGGTTGTTTTGGCTATTTGGGGTACCCAAATATTCCATATACAGTTCAGGATGGATTTTTCTATTTCTGCAAAATACACCATAAGATTTTGATGGGAATTATGTTGAACCAGTTCATCACTCTGGTAGTATTGATATCTTAACAATATTAAGTCTTCCAATCTATGAACACAGTACCTGACTTTTAAAAATTACAAGTATTTCATTAAAAGTGTACTTCTTATGGCAATTTGTTTTATTCATAATCTCATTGTCAAGGTCTTTGGAAAAATATTATAGTACAGCTAACATATGAAATATCACCCAAGTTTAAAATTCACTGCCTCATTTTGCATTATTTCTCCATTTGTAGCTGGCAGTACCACTATTAATGAAGCGAGTGACCTGAGATTCATTCTACATGACTTTAGTTTCTTATTCCGTACAACTCATTGTTCAATAGCTCTGCTGATACTGATTTATAAATGTCGCTCAAATTTCCATAAATTTCAAACCACAGCCAATGCTTAGTTTAATTCATCTTTCATTGCTGAAATCATAGTCACAGCCAGCAATAAAAATTTGAAGGCAGTCTCTCAATCCTCTAGTTTTGAGTCTATTCAAAAATGTTACCTCGTCATGCATCAAATACAAGATAAATTAAAAACGCTTGACCTACAAGACCCTTTATGATCTGGCTCTTTTCTATTTCTTAATTCACTCCTTCCAGTTTCCTATACTTCTGTCATAGATTTATTTACAGTTTTTGATAGTTCAGATTCCTCACTTTTCACTACCCTTGTACCTGATGTATCTTTTTCCTTGAATGCTCATTCTTTTCCTATATTATTCTGAAAATCTTCTGATTATTATTGAGTCTCAGATTTAGTAACTGTATAAAGGAAAGCTTGATGCTTCCATAGCATCTTTTCTCACATTCTAGGCTAGAAGTTATCTCTATACATGGTAATTGTTTCATTAGAGATTATTTTCCTGACCTTTGGATTCATTAAGCTGGGGTGGGGAAATAAAACAAGTACCTTTTCATAGCTCCATTGTCTGTGATAACATGAGGTGACTGAGGGAGAAGACGTAGAAACACAGCTTTAAATCTTGCTGTGCCCTAGCTATAGGTGACTCTCAGGAGAAGAAGTACTCTGTATTTGGAAAAAGGTTGATAAAGAACCCCAAGCCAAATGATGTCTCCCTTTCACATGAAGATTATCAGTAAATGTTGCTGAATATTTTACAAATTTAAAATTATTCAAATTGTTTTGGATTTCCACAGTCAAGACTATGTCAGTTATGATTTCATACATAGCAAAAAGCTATCTTATTATTCCTCCTAAGTGTTCTAATAATGGAAAGTATTTTCCATGGACAATGTACATAAATACTTTTTTATTACTGGCAAGAAATATTTATTAAGAAAAATTAACAAGGATTTATGTTTATAAACATTAGTGTTCCTTGCATCCAGTTAGTTTAAATGAGCCTCCCCTAAATCTGATGAACTATCAATGGTCTAATCAAGCCTTTCCCAAGATAAATTTGGAGAGAAGAGCAGAGCCTGGATCTTGGAATACCAATCAAGGTAGATTCTATTATGGTTTAGGCCTAACCATTTGGTCGGTTAGCATCATTTCTGAGCCTTTAGGCAAAATTTTTGCTTTTCCATACCAAATCAATTTTTGGTGTCTGCCTCATTCACATGGCTGTAATAAAAATCTTAACTTCTGTAATTAAACCTCCTCAGTTAATTCTGTTATTGTCTCTATAGTTTGAAATACTAGGATGGACAAAATATTTCTGATATATGTATGTATGTGTATATATATGTGTGTGTGTATATATATGCATATATATATACATTAGATATGTATACATTTCATATAGTGCCATTATACACGTAATATATATACACGCACATATATAAGGTTTCTATATATTACATATCATATAATAAAATTCTGTTTTTAACTTTCTTTTTTTTTTCTTTTTATTTATTTTTTTATTATTTTTTTATTACACTTTAAGTTTTAGGGTACATGTGCACATTGTACAGGTTAGTTACATATGTATACATGTGCCATGCTGGTGCACTGCACCCACTAACTCGTCATCTAGCATTAGGTATATCTCCCAATGCTATCCCTCCCCACTCCCCCCACCCCACAACAGTCCCCAGAGTGTGATGTTCCCCTTCCTGTGTCCATGTGATCTCATTGTTCAATTCCCACCAATGAGTGAGAATATGCGGTGTTTGGTTTTTTTGTTCTTGCGATAGTTTACTGAGAATGATGATTTCCAATTTCATCCATGTCCCTACAAAGGACATGAACTCATCATTTTTTATGGCTGCATAGTATTCCATGGTGTATATGTGCCACATTTTCTTAATCCAGTCTATCATTGTTGGACATTTGGGTTGGTTCCAAGTCTTTGCTATTGTGAATAATGCCACAATAAACATACGTGTGCATGTGTCTTTATAGCAGCATGATTTATAGTCCTTTGGGTATATACCCAGTAATGGGATGGCTGGGTCAAATGGTATTTCTAGTTCTAGATCCCTGAGGAATCGCCACACTGACTTCCACAAGGGTTGAACTAGTTTACAGTCCCACCAACAGTGTAAAAGTGTTCCTATTTCTCCACATCCTCTCCAGCACCTGTTGTTTCCTGACTTTTTAATGATTGCCATTCTAACTGGTGTGAGATGGTATGTCATTGTGGTTTTGATTTGCATTTCTCTGATGGCCAGTGATGATGAGCATTTTTTCATGTGTTTTTTGGCTGCATAAATGTCTTCTTTTGAGAAGTGTCTGTTCATGTCCTTCACCTACTTCTTGATGGGGTTGTTTGTTTTTTTCTTCTAAATTTGTTGGAATTCATTGTAGATTCTGGATATTAGCACTTTGTCAGATGAGTAGGTTGCAAAAATTTTCTCCTATTCTGTAGGTTGCCTGTTCACTCTGATGGTAGTTTCTTTTGCTGTGCAGAAGCTCTTTAGTTTAATTAGATCCCATTTGTCAATTTTGTCTTTTGTTGTCATTGCTTTTGGTGTTTTAGACATGAAGTCCTTGCCCATGCCTATGTCCTGAATGGTAATGCCTAGGTTTTCTTCTAGGGTTTTTATGGTATTAGGTCTAACGTTTAAGTCTTTAATCCATCTTGAATTAATTTTTGTATAAGGTGTAAGGAAGGGATCCAGTTTCAGCTTTCTACATATGGCTAGCCAGTTTTCCCAGCACCATTTATTAAATAGGGAATCCTTTCCCCATTTCTTGTTTTTGTCAGGTTTGTCAAAGATCAGATAGTTGTAGATACGCGGCGTTATTTCTGAGGGCTCTGTTCTGTTCCATTGATCTATATCTCTGTTTTGGTACCAGTACCATGCTGTTTTGGTTACTGCAGCCTTGTAGTATAGTTTGAAGTCAGGTAGTGTGATGCCTCCAGCTTTGTTCTTTTGGCTTAGGATTGACTTGGCAATGTGGGCTCTTTTTTGGTTCCAAATGAACTTTAAAGTAGTTTTTTCCAATTCTGTGAAGAAAGGCATTGGTAGCTTGATGGGGATGGCATTGAATCTATAAATTACCTTGGGCAGTATGGCCATTTTCACGATATTCATTCTTCCTACCCATGAGCATGGAATGTTCTTCCATTTGTTTGTATCCTCTTTTATTTCCTTGAGCAGTGGTTTGTAGTTCTCCTTGAAGAGGTCCTTCACATCCCTTGTAAGTTGGATTCCTAGGTATTTTATTCTCTTTGAAGCAATTGTGAATGGGATTTCACTCATGATTTGGCTCTCTGTTTGTCTGTTGTTGGTGTATAAGAATGCTTGTGATTTTTGTACATTGATTTTGTATCCTGAGACTTTGCTGAAGTTGCTTATCAGCTTAAGGAGATTTTGGGCTGAGACAATGGGGTTTTCTAGATATACAATCATGTCGTCTGCAAACAGGGACAATTTGACTTCCTCTTTTCCTAATTGAATACCCTTTATTTCCTTCTCCTGCCTAATTGCCCTGGCCAGAACTTCCAACACTATGTTGAATAGGAGTGGTGAGAGAGGGCATCCCTGTCTTGTGCCAGTTTTCAAAGGGAATGCTTCCAGTTTTTGCCCATTCAGTATGATATTGGCTGTGGGTTTGTCATAGATAGCTCTTATTATTTTGAAATGCGTCCCATCAATACCTAATTTATTGAGAGTTTTTAGAATGAAGGGTTGTTGAATTTTGTCAAAGGCTTTTTCTGCATCTATTGAGATAATCATGTGATTTTTGTCTTTGGCTCTGTTTATATGTTGGATTACATTTATTGATTTGTGTGTATTGAACCAGCCTTGCATCCCAGGGATGAAGCCCACTTGGTCATGGTGGATAAGCTTTTTGATGTGCTGCTGGATTCGTTTTGCCAGTATTTTATTGAGGATTTTTGCATCAATGTTCATCAAGGATATTGGTCTAAAATTCTCTTTTTTGGTTGTGTCTCTTCCTGGCTTTGGTATCAGAATGATGCTGGCCTCATAAAATGAGTTAGGGAGGATTCCCTCTTTTTCTATTGATTGGAATAGTTTCAGAAGGAATGGTACCAGCTCCTCCTTGTACCTCTGGTAGAATTCGGCTGTGAATCCGTCTGGTCCTGGACTCCTTTTGATTCGTATGCTATTGATTATTGCCACAATTTCAGCTCCTGTTATTGGTCTGTTCAGAGATTCAACTTCTTCCTGGTTTAGTCTTGGGAGAGTGTATGTGTCGAGGAATTTATCCATTTCTTCTAGATTTTCTAGTTTATTTGCGTAGAGGTGTTTGTAGTATCCTCTGATGGTAGTTTGTATTTCTGTGGGATCGGTGGTGATATCCCCTTTATCATTTTTTATTGCGTCTATTTGATTCTTCTCTCTTTTTTTCTTTATTAGTCTTGCTAGCGGTCTATCAATTTTGTTGATCCTTTCAAAAAACCAGCTCCTGGATTCATTAATGTTTTGATGGGTTTTTTGTGTCTCTATTTCCTTCAGTTCTGCTCTGATTTTAGTTATTTCTTGCCTTCTGCTAGCTTTTGAATGTGTTTGCTCTTGCTTTTCTAGTTCTTTTAATTGTGATGTTAGGGTGTCAATTTTGGATCTTTCCTGCTTTCTCCTGTGGGTGTTTAGTGCTATAAATTTCCCTCTACACACTGCTTTGAATGTGTCCCAGAGATTCTGGTATGTTGTATCTTTGTTCTCGTTGGTTTCAAAGAACATCTTTATTTCTGCCTTCATTTCGTTATGTACCCTGTAGTCATTCAGGAGCAGATTGTTCAGTTGCCATGTAGTTGAGCGGTTTTGAGTGCGATTCTTAATCCTGAGTTCTAGTTTGATTGCACTGTGGTCTGAGAGATAGTTTGTTACAATCTCTGTTCTTTTACATTTGCAGAGGAGAGCTTTACTTCCAAGTTTGTGGTCAATTTTGGAATAGGTGTGGTGTGGTGCTGAAAAAAATGTATATTCTGTTGATTTGGGGTGGAGAGTTCTGTAGATGTCTATTAGGTCTGCTTGGTGCAGAGCTGAGTTCAATTCCTGGGTATCCTTGTTGACTTTCTGTCTCGTTGATCTGTCTAATGTTGACAGTGGGGTGTTAAAGTCTCCCATTATTAATGTGTGGGAGTCTAAGTCTCTTTGTAGGCCACTCAGGACTTGCTTTATGAATCTGGGTGCTCCTGTATTGGGTGCATATATATTTAGGATAGTTAGCTTTTCTTGTTGAATTGATCCCTTTACCATTATGTAATGGCCTTCTTTGTCTCTTTTGATCTTTGTTGGTTTAAAGTCTGTTTTATCAGAGACTAGGATTGCAGCCCCTGCCTTTTTTTGTTTTCCATTTGCTTGGTAGATCTTCCTCCATCCTTTTATTTTGAGCCTATGTGTGTCTCTGCACGTGAGATGGGTTTCCTGAATACAGCACACTGATGGGTCTTGATTCTTTATCCAATTTGCCAGTCTGTGTCTTTTAATTGGAGCATTTAGTCCATTTACATTTAAAGTTAATATTGTTATGTGTGAATTTGATCCTGTCATTATGATGTTAGCTGGTTATTTTGCTCGTTAGTTGATGCAGTTTCTTCCTAGTCTTGATGGTCTTTACATTTTGGCATGATTTTGCAGCGGCTGGTACCGGTTGTTCCTTTCCATGTTTAACGCTTCCTTCAGGAGCTCTTTTAGGGCAGGCCTGGTGGTGACAGAATCTCTCAGCATTTGCTTGTGTGTAAAGGATTTTATTTCTCCTTCGCTTATGAAGCTTAGTTTGGCTGGATATGAAATTCTGGGTTGAAAATTCTTTTCTTTAAGAATGTTGAATATTGGCCCCCACTCTCTTCTGGCTTGTAGGTTTTCTGCCAAGAGATCCGCTGTTAGTCTGATGGGCTTCCCTTTGAGGGTAACCCGACCTTTCTCTCTGGCTGCCCTTAACATTTTTTCCTTCATTTCAACTTTGGTGAAACTGACAATTATGTGTCTTGGAGTTGCTCTTCTCGAGGAGTATCTTTGTGGCGTTCTCTGTATTTCCTGAATCTGAACGTTGGCCTGCCTTGCTAGATTGGGGAAGTTCTCCTGGATAATATCCTGCAGAGTGTTTTCCAACTTGGTTCCATTCTCCCCATCACTTTCAGGTACACCAATCAGACGTAGATTTGGTCTTTTCACATAGTCCCATATTTCTTGGAGGCTTTGCTCATTTCTTTTTATTCTTTTTTCTCTAAACTTCCCTTCTCGCTTCATTTTATCTTCCATTGCGGATACCCTTTCTTCCAGTTGATCACATCAGCTCCTGAGGCTTCTGCATTCTTCACGTAGTTCTCGAGCCTTGGTTTTCAGCTCCATCAGCTCCTTCAAGCACTTCTCTGTATTGGTTATTCTAGTTATACATTCCTCTAAATTTTTTTCAAAGTTTTCAACTTCTTTGCCTTTGGTTTGAATGTCCTCCCGTAGCTCAGAGTAATTTGATCGCCTGAAGCCTTCTTCTCTCAGCTCGTCAAAGTCATTCTCCATCCAGCTTTCTTCCGTTGCTGGAGAGGAACTGCGTTCCTTTGGAGGAGGAGAGGCGCTCTGCTTTTTAGAGTTTCCAGTTTTTCTGTTCTGCTTTTTCCCCATCTTTGTGGTTTTATCTACTTTTGGTCTTTGATGATGGTGATGTACAGATGGGTTTTTGGTGTGGATGTCCTTTCTGTTTGTTAGTTTTCCTTCTAACAGACAGGACCCTCAGCTGCAGGTCTGTTGGAATACCCTGCCGTGTGAGGTGTCAGTGTGTCCCTGCTGGGGGGTGCCTCCCAGTTAGGCTGCTCGGGGGTCAGGGGTCAGGGACCCACTTGAGGAGGCAGTCTGCCCGTTCTCAGATCTCCAGCTGCGTGCTGGGAGAATCACTGCTCTCTTCAAAGCTGTCAGACAGGGACATTTGAGTCTGCAGAGGTTACTGCTGTCTTTTTGTTTGTCTGTGCCCTGCCCCCAGAGGTGGAGCCTACAGAGGCAGGCAGGCCTCCTTGAGCTGTGGTGGGCTCCACCCAGTTGGAGCTTCCAGGCTGCTTTGTTTACCTAAGCAAGCCTGGGCAATGGCGAGCGCCCCTCCCCCAGCCTCGCTGCTGCGTTGCAGTTTGATCTCAGACTGCTGTGCTAGCAATCAGCAAGACTCCGTGCGCACAGGACCCTCCGAGCCAGGTGCGGGATATAATCCCATGGTGTGCCGTTTTTTAAGCTGGTCGGAAAAGCGCAGTATTCGGGTGGGAGTGGCCCGATTTTCCAGGTGTGTCCGTCACCCCTTTCTTTGACTCGGAAAGGGAACTCCCTGACCCCTTGCACCTCCCCAGTGAGGCAATGCCTCTCCCTGCTTCGGCTCGCGCACGGTGTGCACACCCACTGACCTGCGCCCACTGTCTGGCACTCCCTAGTGAGATGAACCCAGTACCTCAGATGGAAATGCAGAAATCACCCATCTTCTGCGTCGCTCACGCTGGGAGCTGTAGACCGGAGCTGTTCCTATTCGGCCATCTTGGCTCCTCCCCCTGTTTTTAACTAACTTTCAATATCTCCTTACTAAAGAAAGCCTTAGTGAGTTGAGGCTGAGTTAATGGGCTTTATCAAAGGCTCATCTTTGAACAGTGGTCAAATAATCTTTAATCAATGGTTTCCAGGACTGTTCTGATTTATTTCTGTTTCCCATTTGACTCTGTGTCTCATGTCATTTGTTTTACCTGCAATATTCAATGATACATGTATTGTGAGACTATTTCAATCTCTTCAACTTCAGTTGTTCAATGTTTATGAGTTTAAGTCGAAGATTTTCAATTGTACTTTTATTTCTCTTACTCAGCCTGTTGCAAACTGGTTACCACAAATATCCATGCTGAGCTGACTTCCCAATGTCTAGTGTAGAAAATGCCTGCTGCAATTTACCCTTCTACTTGTGGTTGAGTTCACGCTGTTCTGAGAACCCTCTGATGTTGAAGTGGCTGCTGTAGATTCTGACTGGAGCAAGAATGACTTCTAAGTTGTATGTGACCTAAAAACAGCTCCCCTACTGAACAGAAGATACTGACTTTTATGTTTCCCCCGTATGGCAATATCAAACATACTGTTTGTCAGTAGCACCCTTTGTCTTCCCTGTACAGCCATTTCATGCTTTCCTCTTTGCAGCATACTCATTCTAGAATGCTATTTAACTATGTTTTTAGTTAATAAATGTCCAGCCAAATGGATGAGTAGATGAATTATTCCAGACATGAGCTGGTAACATGTTAATATGTTCCTTTGCGGCTTTGTTGAGCTTAACTGTGGTGAATTTTATATTCTTTCAGATTTAAAATAAGCCCAGCCTCTGTTTTTAAAAATTATGTATAATGGGAAAGTATTTGATCATTTTCAAATGAGATATGCCAATCACTAGACAATAATTCTAAGTAGACATTCATACAAAAATGATAAATATCTGTATTTAATGAATAAGAACAAAAATCTTAGGAAAACAGAGCACCAAGGATATCAAAGATTAATCTCCAGTAATTTGGTGTTGACATAGCTGAAGAATAATATCACTATTGACTGAAACATATAATGTCCTTAGCGAATAGCTTGTCAGGACTAATATAATCAAATACAAAATTGATACAAGGAATCATGACCCTACATCTCAAACACCACTCTGGGCTTCTGCCACCCAGAGGAAAGTAATTAATTAATTTCAGCTGGAGAATGTCTTCTTGTCTGTAATTAACAATATGTGCACCTACCACATTCTAATCCTCCACTGTGCTGAGGAAGTACAAGGTGATTAGTGAAGGCAAATTGCAAACACACCTCTTGGTTGCTTCTTCTTCCACCTCAAACTCTCTCATCCTCCCACCCCATCCGACTTCCCTTGTCAAGTATTAAATGGAATTTTTAAAATTAATTAAAACATAAAATATGTATTTTATTTGTTTTCTCACGTAGGTATTTTTACTTTAGGTTTATATCTTGAATCATAAACTTTAGTGTGAACTCCATTTTGGTTTATTAATACAAGAAGTGTTTAAAGTGTTCATAAAATGCATATTCCACATAGTCTGTCATCTTTCATTTTTTTATTTTAATTTTTAATTTTTTTTTTTTTTTGAGATGTGGAGTCTCGCTCTGTCGCCCTGGCTGGAGTGCAGTGGCACAATCTTGGCTCACTGCAAGCTCCGTCTCCCAGGTTCACGCCATTCTCCTGCCTCAGCCTCCCAAGTAGCTGGGACTACAGGGGCCTGCCACCACGCCCGGCTAATTTTTTGTATTTTTAGTAGAGATGGGGTTTCACTATGTTAGCCAGGATGGTCTCCATCTCCTGACCTCGTGATCCGCCGGCCTCGGCCTCCCAAAGTGCTGGGATTACAGGTGTGAGCCACCACACAGAGCCTCATCTTTCATTTTTAAAGAGATTTTTTAACTTCTAAAGTATTTAAAAGTGATATTTATAAATGCATGGTAAAGATGTAACATGTTTGCTTTATTCACAATTGTGGCCTTGAATCTCTGCAAAGTAGCCAGCACAATAAAATAATTAAGTTAGTGGAAAAATCAGCAAAGTGCAATAACGCAAGTTTGGTATTACAGCAGAACTTTTAACTTCGGCTTTGCCACTTCTTAGCAGTGTGCCTTTGGGCACATACTTAACTTCTCTGTAATTTTCTTACCATACCCATGAAAAGCAGACATCGAATGCTAATAATATGGCAAGCACATAATTATAGATATATTTAAATATAACTATTAAATGTAGATACAGTAGTTTCCCCTTAACCACAATTTTGCTTACCTCAATTTCAGTTACTCCCAGTCAACCATGGTGTGAAAATATTAAATGGGAAATTCCAGAAATAAAGAGTTCTTAAGTTTTAAATTGCACACTGTTCTGAGTAACGTAATGAAATCTCATGCCATCCTGCCCAATCCTGCCCAGGATTTGAATCAGCCTCTGTCCAGCGTATTCATGCTGTAGATGCCGCTCCCTGCCCATTAGTCACACAGTTATATCATTCCACAGCACCACAAGAAAATAACAGTGAGTACAGTACAATAAGATATTTAGAAAGCAAGAGACCACATTCATACACCTTTTATTACAGTATATTGTTATAATTGTTCTATTGTATTATTAGTTGTTGTTAATCTCATTACTATGCCAAATTAAACTTTCTCATAGGCATGTATGTATGGGAAAAGCATAGTATATGTAGGGTTCAGTGTTATCTGTGGCTTCAGGCATCCCCTGGGGGGGGTCTCGGAATATATCACATGAAGATAAGGGGGAGCTACTATATTTACAAATGGACATTTAACTGAATAAGTTACACGCATACCAAATCAAATATGTGCAGAAAAATATGTTCCATATCCAACTTCCACCAGGAAGTTGCAAATTAAAACCATGGTGAGATACCACTACATGTCTGTCAGAAGAGCTGAAATAAAAAATAGCAAAATGCTAGAAAGGATGTAGAAAAAATGGATCTCTCACACATTCCTAATGAAAATTTAAAATAATACAGCCACTCTGAAAAACAGTTTGGCATTAAAAAAAAACACATATGTACTATATGATAAAATAATTGCACTTTGGGGTATTTATTCAGAGAAATGTATACTCTGTCAACACAAAAACATGCGCATTAGTGTTTTTCTGTGATAACCAAAAACTGCAAATAACTCATCTATCCTATCCTTCAATTGGTGAATGGTTAAACAACCTATGGTATATCCATACCAGGTAATACTACTTAGCAATGAAAAGAAATAAACTATCAACACATACAACAACATGGATGGATCTTGAGGGAGTTATGCTGAATAAAGAAAGAGCTGATATCAAAAGATTACATAGTATATAATTCCATATAGTATTCTTATAATTACAAAATAAAACCAGAGAGCAACTTAGTGGTTTTGTACTTGAAGAATCTTTATGTTGATGGAACAGTGTTTTGATTGAGGTGGTTACATAAATTTATGCCTGTTAAAAATGCATGGAAAGACACACACACACACATACACACCCCTGTATACAGATGAGTATAATAAAACCAGAATAAGCTTTGTGAATTGTAACGATGTCAAATTCCTGATTTTGATATTGTATTATACTGTGTATTATAAAATGTTACCATTTAGCGAAATTAGCTGAAGAGTACAAGGGAACTGCCTATACCATTTGCAACTTCTTGTAAATATATATTTTTTAGAGTTAAAAATATATTTAAGGCACATAGCCTAGAGCATGGAACATAGAAGTAACTAAATAATTGTTATTATTTGCATCACTAGAAAACAAGGTTCCAGCCCCAGATATACAATTTATACATTTTGCCTCAATGAAAATTTACCTAGCTTCCTTTTTCAAAAAAATGTATGCAATGATAAGAGCAATAATTTCCCTGCCTATCTCAGTGAGTTCTTATAAGATGAAATTAGGTCTGTTTTTAAATACCTTTTTTCTATTATACTGATTTAGTCACCAATAAAAATGTTAGTGATTAGTCCGTGCTTGGCTTGCCTCAATAAAATATACCAGTGTCTGCCATTTTACTTTTCAGTTTTCTGGATGAACTATTATTTTAAACTTACTTATGAAAGAGAAATACATTCTTTCTCCCTCTCCCTCTCTCCCCTTCTCTGTTTCTCATATATATATGAAAACGGGCTTTTATAAAAGAGTTTGTGAAACTTATTTTATTATTATTATTATTATTATTATTATTATTATTTTGAGATGGAGTCTCGCTGTGTTGCCCAGGCTGGAGTGCAGTGGCACGATCTCGGCTCACTGCAAGCTCCACTTCCCAGGTTCACGCCATTCTCCTGCCTCAGCCTCCCGAGTAGCTGGGACTACAAGCGCCTGCCACCACGCCCGGCTAATTTTTTGCATTTTTTAGTAGAGACGCAGTTTCACCAAGTTAGCCAGGATGGTCTAGATCGTCTGACCTCGTGATCCACCCGCCTCGGCCTCCCAAAGGGCAGGGATTACGGGCGTGAGCCACCTTATTTTATTTCATTTGCCGAATACCTAATTTATTATTCCAGTTCTGGGATTGCAAAATAACAATACAAAATGTCCTAAATATTTAGGACACCTTGTTAACCTTTTGTTCTTACCCACCCCAGGACTCATCTCATTATCATTAATATATACATACACATATATATCAAATATATATAAAATGATATTAAAAATAAGGTTCCCATCGTTTATTGTGAGTTGGTGGAGTAATCAGGTATTCAGGTATACGTTTTCATCTCATTTATATTTAACAGAATTTTATTCTTCCTAATTGTCCATTGAGTGTGACTCAAACTTTGGTCAATTTATTGATGGATTCCTTCATTAACACATTCACTCATTTAAAAGTAACTTCTGATTGTCTTCTACATTCTAGGAATGTGATTGAATTGTACATTCTATACAGTCTTTGGTAGCACAGAATATCCTACTTTAAATAAATAACCTTCTTTACTGCTTAATGAAGAATAATGAACTATGCACGTCATTATGGGATGAAGAACAGGTACCAAGAGAACAGGTGGAAAGAGCATTTGGTTGTGACCTCCCGTTTCAGGGAAAGGTTCTTTGAAGAAGTGGCATATTGCTAAGAACTTGAGTAACTGGCAGGAAACAGTAAACAGAGCCATGGAAAAAGGATATTAGTCATTCCTATGGAAGGGACTGGGTGGGTGCCTTACACAAATGATATGTTGTATAGAGGAAGAGAATGATAAAAAATATAAAGGAAAGATCTCATTTAACCTTGCTTTTTAAACTATGCCTCCTCTAGGAAAAGACAAGGAGGACATGCAGGGACCGAAATGTTGAAACAAAGACAAGAAATTCCTGTAACCAGCTAAGAAGGCAAAAATTAAGCAAAACAAACAAAAGCAAATGTTTTTGGTGAATTTCAGAGCTAGGATTGCAAAACTTTCAGCAAGATCATTTGCTAATTTCTGGTGCTGATGACCATGGGCACAACACCTTCTTCTAAAACGCCTGAGGCTGGACTAGAAAAATTTTATTTGTTTGTTTGTTTTTCTTTCACGCCCAAAAATGAACTAGTATTGGCACTGTCCTTTAAGGGTACTTATAATTTATAAAGCAAAGAATATTAGCATATCTATTGTCATAATATTCCTACCAGCAGTTTTCTTAAAGCCAGAAACATACCGAGTCCTTCAGATAGCATCAGTACAATGTCAACATTTCTAGGGCAGTTAAGCTACTCTGTGTTAACATAATTTTTATTTTGGAGGAACTTTGAGAAAACTATTGGATGAAGAAACATGCTTACCTTTGTAAATGAGCATGATTATCCATAAAATGGTGTATATTGTGCCAAATTGTTAGCTCGTTATTTATTTGGTTGCAGATGTACACAAGAAACATTGGGGTTGTCAACAGAAGACTATGCATGGGGGAAAAAAGATAAATAAAAAACATTACTTTGTCATATTAAAGTATAAAACTTAGGCAGTGGGAACTAATTTTATTGTTCTCTATTATTCTGACTGTAATATTAACGCAGAGAGCAACTAACTTGGCACAACATTTTTCTATAAAAATAGTCATTCATACATTATCAAGTGAAGTAGCTCTTAGGAAGAACTTGCTTCATACTGATCGTTATTTAATTAGATAAACTTCTTCACAATAGTTGTATTTTAAATAGGGATTTTCTTTTAAGTTGCCCATACCAATCCATAACTTAGTTATTTCTGTGTTCACAGATCTTCACATTTTTTTGCATTCTGCTGTAATATAAAAATGTATATGATTCAGGATATTTCTTTTCTTCTTTTTTCTTTCTTTTTTCTTTAATTAGGGAGTAAAGACAGAATTTCTCACTGTAGCAAGATGGCAGACTAAGAAATATTTAACACTATCACTGTAAGTATGTTAAAATACTGGATAAACTATTTGAAAAGCATTTATAATAAATAGCTAAGCTTATGAGAAAAAAGAGAGCCCCCAAGTTGATAGAAACAAAGAGGTAACTAAAAACAAGAGCTGGAATATGTGTTTATTTCAAGCTGCGTGTGTGTGTGTGTGTGTGTGTGTGTGTGCATGTCTGTGTGTCCAGTGGGGAGACAGACACAGAAGCTGGATGTAGTTGGTGTTGCTATTCCACTGGCTTGGGATTTCAGGTCAAATCAGACACCTCTCAAAAGAAGACATCCATGCAACCAACAAACATATGAAAAAAAGGTCAACATCAGTAATCATTAGAGAAATGCAAATCAAAACCACAATGAGATAGCATCTCACACCAGTAAGAATGGTGATTATTAAAAAGCCAAGAAACAACAGATGCTGGCGAGGTTGTGGAGAAAAAGGAACTCTTCCATACTGTTGGTGAGAATGTAAATTAGTTCAACCATTATGGAAAACAGTGTGGCAATTCCTCAAGGATCTAGAACCAGAAATACCATTTGACCATTTGGGTATATACCCAAAGGAATATAAATCATTCTATTATAAAGATACATGCATGCATATGTTTACTGCAGCATCATTCATAATAGCAAAGACATGGAGTCAACCCAAATACCCACTAACATTAGATTGGATAAAGAAAACGTGGAACATATGCACCATGGAATACTATGCAGCCATAAAAAGGAATGAGATCATGTCCTTTGCAGGGACATAAATAGAGCTGGAGGCCATTATTTTCAGCAAACTAATGCAGGAACTGAAAACCAAACAGCACATATTCTCACTTATAAGTGGGAGCTGAACGATGAGAACACATGGACACATAGTGGGGAACAACACACACTGGGGCCTGTTGGGGTTGGGGCGGGAGATGGGGAGAGCATTGGGAAGAATTCCTGAAGGATGCTGGCTTAATACCTAGGTGATAGGATGATCTGTGCAGCAAGCCACCATGGAACATGTTTACCAGTGTAACAAACCTGCACATCCTGCACATGTACCTCTGAACTTAAAATAAAAGTTGATACTATTTTTTTAAAAATTGAAAATTAAAAAAATTAAAAAATAGGCTGGGCATTGTGGCACACACCTGTAATCTCAGCTGCTCAGGAGGCTGAGGCAAGAGAATCACTTGACCTGGGAGACAGAGGTTGCAGTAAACTGAGGTTTGTGCCACTGCACTCCAGGCTGGGTGACAGAGTGAGACTCAAACTAAAAAAAAAAGGACAAAAACAAACAAACAAAAAAACATGCCTTGAGTAAGAAAGAAATGAAGAAACAAAGAAACAAGACATCATAAAAGAAACCAGCAAAATATGAAAAAGAGCAAAATAGGCCTCTGGAAAGGAATATATCTCTGTAGTACATACCACATGAAAACCTGATTACATAAGTTTATCAACATATTTGACATTAAAGAAATAATTACTGGTTTATAAGATTATTAGGAAGACTTAAGAATTCAGCAGAGAGAGATGGGTAATATCTGAAACAGGTTAAAAGACATTGAGGATCAGATGGCAAATTTCAACATGTACACATATAATTAGAATTCCAGAAGGAGGTAAGAGAAAGAAGGGGGAATAAGCCGTAGTAGAAGTAATTGTGGGGAGTTAGAGATGGCTATAAATTATTTGATCATAGGGTGGGAGCCCACTTGATATAGCTTGAATGTTGTCTCCTCTAAATCTCATGTGGAAATGTAATCCCCAATGTTGGAGATGGGGCCTGGTGGGGGGTGATTAGGTCATGGGGGCAGATTTCTGATGAATGGTTTAGCGCCATCCCCTTGGTGCTGTCCTTGTGATAATGAGTGACTTCTTGTGACATCTGGCTGTTTAATGTGTATGGCATCTTTGTACTTGCTCTCTTGCCTCTGCTTTCACCATGTGACATGTCTGCTTCCACTTTACCTTCCACCAGGTTCCCTGAAGCCTCCTCAGAAGCCGAGCAAATGCCAGTGCCACGCTTGTACAGCCTGCAGAACTGTCAGCTAATTCAACCTCTTTCTTTTTTAACTACCCAGTCTCAGGTATTCGTTTATAGCCACGCAAAAATGGCCTAAAACATCCTTTTCCCTCCTACTGAATCTGGATAAACCTATGACTGTTTTGACCAACAGAATACAGTAAGTTTTGGACTTAGACTTTAAGATGACTTGCTACTTCCTCTTACTGGCTCAGAGTTCTGGGCGGCCATGTAAGAAATTCTAGTGCCTTGCTGTAGAAACAATATCTCAAGTAGGAACCTTTAGGTTGGAATCTTCAGATTATATGGAGCTAAGCCTAGCTTTCCAATCACCTCTGCCAAAGCCCCAGCCTGTTTGGACCCTGCAGATGAGACCCATCACCAGCTGAATACCACTGAGTAAACTCTCAATGCGACAGGGAGCAGAAATATCCAGCTGAGCTTTGCATGAATTATGAAGCTTAAAATCATGAGGTATAATTAATGTTTGTGGCTTAAAGCCATTAAATTTTGAGGAAGAAGCTAGGAAGCAATAGATATCTAAAAAAAGAGTCTGAGAATTTTGCAGAATGAACAAAATATGAATCCTTAAAGAATCAAATAAAGGCTCAATAAAGAGAATAAAAGTTATCCCTACTGGGACATACTGTTGCGAACTGCAGAACAAAAGAGGAAAATGAAATCAAGAATGAAGCAAAAGAGGAAGAATAGATTACACACAAATAAACAATTTTAATAATTAATGTACATTCCTTTAACACCAATAAAAGACTAGAATGTAATGGATTAATATTTTCCAGGCAATAAGGGAAACTGCCAACCTAGAATTCTAAAGCCTGCCAAATCATCATTCAAGATTAAGAGCAAAATCAAGACAACTTTGGTCCTAAAAGATTGAAAAATTTATTACTAACAAAGCATCTCTGAATGAACTTCTAAAGGACGTATTTCAGTACGAAGGAAACTAAACTCAGAAGGAAGATGTGTGAAACAATGAGTAAAAACAAATAGCACTCTGTAACCATAAGAAAAACTCAAACAAAAAAGCGACTTAGGCAAAAGTAAATATCTTTTTATATAAATTCCCAAGGTTCTTCATTAGCAGGTGAGAATTTATGCATGATAATTATTAGTACTATCATTATTTCCTGATAGTTTGTGCATGACAGAAATCATACCTTATCTCATTTAAACCGATGAAATATGTATTAATGTTTCCACATAACGAGGAAAAAATGGGGATTAAAGAACGAATCAGAATTTGAACAGCTAGTGAGTTGTGGAGATGTAGTTTGGAAACAGTGATTGCAAAGATAATGACCAGCTCCTCTAAACTATATAGTCTCCTGTGTATTCTTTCAGAATTTATTTTGCTTGAATCTCTTACTTTTAAGGAACTTACACATCTTGTATATATCCATTTCTCTTTTCTAACTCCCGATACACTCACCTTCTCCTTTTCCATCAAACACCATTGATATCAAATGAAAGCCTGTTTACTCTGAAGACAGAGAATTATCAAAACAAGTTTCCCATGACAAAAACGTCTATGAAAATGCCAAATTATGTATCACCTTGCAAAATAATCATCTTTGTGAAGGATAATTATCTGGCTCTGAAGGACAGAGATGGTAGCTCTTGCGTATTTAGCAGGGGAGGTATTGCTACTCTTATTTTAAAACAGAGAAAAATTAAACTCAGGCTATGTGATCAGTCCAAAATCACACAACTATTTAAAAATAGAGAAAAATTCAAAGTAATGTATTGTGTGTGTCTCTGAAGATGAAGCATATTCTATCACCCATGTTGACTCTCACAGTTTGGGAAAGTCTGTCATGTGTCTGGCATTGGAATTTGGGACTATAAACAACTTTTGTCATAAGTCTTTTCCAATATTATACACTCAAGTGCAAACAATTCCAAATGGCACTCACCAACATTTATTTATTGATTATCTATAATTTTTTGCTCATTGGATTATTACTTTAGATGGGTGCTATAATTAGGCACATCTCTGGAATGTGGACAAGACATGACTGGTATAAAAATCAAAATAAAGGTGTGAAAGAAGTGAGGGTAAAGTTTTTGGGGATGTTCGGGCTACACACATCCGTCAGCTACTTTTTCAAAAGGAACAGTGGAGAATCTGACTGTAAAAAGTAAAATAGAGGTTCTTCTTCAAAGACTTTCCTCCCTGTCTAATTAGGAATAAGTAATAACTTCTCTTAAAAGCAAAAGGTATTCGAAGACCTGTGCTAACATTCTTAAATATCTGCTAGCCATAACAGAGAAATCAATGTACTTTAAGTTCTTAGCTTATCCACAATTGAGCTTAAATATTTGCCCTGGCATGCTTATACTGGTCCAAGCAAGCATTGGGTCATAGCCTGTTCCTTTTCCTTATTTAAAAGTGTTTTTACTCTTCTCAGCATTCCGCAAGTTACTTCCTCCTTCCTTTGTTCTTGTCTACCTTTGCCTCTTTTAAAAAGTTCTAAGTTGCTCGCCAATTGGGATAAACACAGAATGTGAGGTTCCGTTCCAGCCAGTAGAAACCGGAAACAGCAGTAGGGTGGATGCATCAGGTTATAAATGACCCTGTCTCCTTTGTTCGGTGTACTCTCGTGGCAAAACTGCTGGCGAGTGTACCCGTTCTGCAGGAAGTAAAAATGGCCTTACTAAATAAATTTATGTTCAAGTGCTATTTCTTTATGGCACCGGAGAACAAGCATTTCAAACATGACTAAACTAATAAGTTAATTATCGTAGAGATATTCTTAAGGGAGGCAATGTGTAGTAAGAGGAGAAATTCTAAACCTGGAACTAGGAAAAAGGGGTTTAAATCTAACAGACTCTTCTACTTGCTGCTTCATTGGCCATTTTGACCTTTACTTTTTTGGACAGTAATGTATAAAGTGACACATCTAACATTTGTGTGAGTGTTGGAAGACAGTAGGGGATACGAGACAATGAAGATGAAAACACCTTGCATAGTACTTAGCACAACAAAGTTCTTTAAAATATCATGTGATTGTTTATTGACTGAGAGTTCATTATGTTGTTTGACAAAAGAAGCTAGTACAGAGATTAAATGTGAGCATTAAAAGCCTATTTTAAGAATGGGTATTTTCCTCTCATAAAAAAAAAGAAAAATGTTCTTATTTAATGTTTTCATAGTGTTTTCTCTATTAATTTTAATTAGGTTCTATTAAATATTCAAGGATTTTTTTAATGATAACCAGACTTACTACTGAGCTATATCGTTAATTGTACACTAAATTTTTGCTTGTTGGATTTGTGTGTAAGCGTGTGTGTAATTTAGTGTCATTTAAATGTGTTCCTGACGTGGAATCCCATGACATACCCTCAAAAATGACACTACATGCTGTATGTATTGTACACAGAGTACAGGCATTTCTCTCAGTGGGGACTTTGTCCTGGATAGTGTAATTATAGTAAGAGCAAAAAGTTGCATGAGTCATCAGTCTGGTACCATATTTTAGTGGTCACCATAAGCTAGAAATTTAATTCTGGCCATAGAAGTAAAACTCATCTGCCCAGACAACTAACAAATACTTTTCTCTAATGATAATTTGTAAATTGCTTCCTTATGAATCCACTGATATAATCCTTCAAAGTAGAAAAGTATCTCATGAAAGAGATTTAAGTTTGAAAATGATTTATGGAGACTGAGATCTAAATTATCATGCCATACATTGAGACGGTGACAATAGCTGTACCTTAAGACTGTGGCAGGCCGGCACAAGTGGCTCACTCCTGTAATCCTAGCACTTTGGGAGGCCAAGGAAGGTGAGTCACCTGAGGTCAGGAGTTCATGACTAGCCTGGCCAACATGGTGAAACCCCATCTCTACTAAAAATACAAAAGTTAGCTGGGCGTGGTGGCACATGCCTGTAATCCCAACTACTTGGGAGGCTGAGGCAGGAGAGTCACTTGAACCTGGGAGGCGGAGGTTGCAGTGAGCTGAGATCGCGCCACTGCACTCCAGCCTTCCAGCCTGGGTGACAGAGCGAGACTCCATCTTAAAAACAACAACAACAACAACAAAACCCAAAACAAACAAAAAACCCACTGTGGCAAAGAGTTGGGTTTAAAAAAGTGTTCTTAATGAATTTCTTATTCATCAGTTTTTCTTTCATTTGTGAATTTTCCACACTGGATTTGAGTATCAAAAAAGGAGTCCTGAAGGAAGGGATAAGTAGGCTTTAGCAGAAAGAGAGAGAGAGAGAGAGAGAGAGAGAGAGAGAAAGAGAGATGGAATAAATATTTCTAATGCCCACAAAAGGAAGTAGTTGGAAATGGTCTATCAGCTTGAAATTTCAGCAACTGTAAAAGTAATTTAGAACTGGATAGTAGCTGAAAGTAAGATCAGAGAGCTGTGCAGTGATATATCATGGAAGGACTTCTGTGCTAAATTAAGAAGTTTGAAATTTATTCTGAAAATTATAAAGAGCCATTGATCAAAATTGATGCATTAGTTTCCTATTGCTGCTGTGAAAATCTATCACAGATTTAGTGGCTTAATACAACACAAATTTATTATCTTGTGCTTCTGAATTTTCAAAGTCCAAAATAGTTTCACTGGTATAAAGTCAAAGTGTTATCTTAGCTGGTTCCTTCTGGAGACTCTGAGAGGAGAATCTATATTCTTGCCTTTTATCGTTTCCGTAAGCCACCTGCATTTTTAAGCTCACTGCCCCTTCCGCTCATCACCCCTACCTCTTGCTTCCATCATCCCATCTCCTGCTAGTGATTCTCTTCCTCCTGTTTCACTGTTATAAAGACCTCGTGATCACGTTGGACCCACCTGAATAATTTAGGATAATCTTCCCAAATCAAGATCTTCAACTTAAGTACAATAGCAAAGTCCTTTTAACCATATAAGGTAATGTATTAATAAGTTTCAGGAATTAGGACATGGACATCTTCTGGAGGCTATTATTTTTAACTTATTACAAACTATATGTAGAGATATGACATGAAAAGTTTTATATTTTAGAAAGAGCTCTCTGACACAATGGGAGTTAGTTTGAAGAAGTATCAGCCTCGTACAAGGGGAGGAGAGCTTTTTCTTGTTCTTTTTAAAAAAGCAATTGTTGGGCTCCTGTTGAAAAATGGCTTATTCCAAGTCTAATGATGTGCAACCTTAAATCTAAGACTACTGCTCCCCATTTCTTTAACAGAACAAACACCCCTATAATGAACAGCAAAAAACATCTGTAGGATACCCTTCAGTGGAATCTAGAAACTAACTGGATAGGGAGAGAAGTGAGTGGTAGAGGTAAGGAAGTGTCTTCAATTACCAAATTTAAATTATCTTTACTAGAAACAGGAAATTTAGGAAATGAAGCAAGTGAGAAAGAATATAGAGTGTTCAATCAAGGACCCTATTAGATTTTGGAGCTCCTTTGTACAGATTAGGAAAAGACAGCCCCTCTGGATTGATGCAGTCCCACAGGCCCATGGCTTTGTCAACAGCCACCTCTTCATATAGAGGAACCGATGTCCCTCCCTTCCAACTGATGCAGCTCCCTTATAGGGCCTAGTAGGAGCCTGCCACAAACCACAGCCACAGCAGATAAAGGGCCTGAGCTCAGTTTTGTACATAACAGATATGAAGCACCAGGAAAATTTCACATAAAATTGTCTAAAGGGCACTTCTCAGAAGAAAAGTAAATGATCTGGATGTCAGTTTTAGAACTATCAGCAGAAAAATAATATACAAAGGTCTAGAATAGTTGAGATTGTACAGGAAGAGAGTTACATGATTTAAGAGACAGTCAAGTTGAAACATAGAATGTCCAAAATCACAGTGTCATCGCTAGCATCAGAATGGGACAATCTTTTCACAGTCTTGGCGAATAGTTAGTGCATTCAATCAGTGCTCATGACAAACCCACACATTTACCGTAGAACTATTTGTATTTTTATGAATGTTTTAATGTATTAAATGTTGAAGATAAATCATTTTTGCAGCAATAATAAAAAAGGAGTACATCTACATTATTTGCTATCAGCAAAAGGGAAGATTAGTATAGGGACATTTGAGATATATCAACCGTGGGTGAAAACAGCTAGAAAATCCCTTGGTGCACACTTAAAGTCTCTTAGAAGCCTCTGGAAAGGAAAAGAGACAGAATTGGGAAAGGGAGAAAGCAAACAATTTAATTTAAAATATTTTCCTTGATTTTTCAACCAATTTATTTTTATGTTGAATTCATTCCATGACGTGATGCACAATCCCAGTTATTTGAACCTATGTGAAACGTTTTGACAGAGGAGAATGCATTTCCTTAAGTTCCAATTGTGGAATTTAGTTATCTATTCAATATATGTATTTCATTTAACTTCAACTGATTTGAGATACCCAATTCTCCATTGGGAAGCACTTGGCTTTTCTCATAAATGTGTAATTTTCAGCTTGAAGAAACACTTGCACCTTCAGGGAGCAATATATTCTCTTTTCCCAGTAGTTCCTTATTTTATTTACCCTGTCAAGTAGCCAACAAGAATATTTTCTCATACTGTACCAGACATGAGGAGTGAACTTCAAGCATTCAGTTTGCCCAACTTTTCCAGAAGAAAATTAGAAAATAATCTCAAGCAAAGTAACTAATAGGAGTTCTTATAGAGCCATAAGCCACCTGTTTAGAATTATCAGTTAAATTAACTTCTAGAATAAAGACCAATTATTTCTTAATATAATGCATTTTGAAAGTGCATTTTGCATTTGGCATCTGTGCAAAATATTGGAAGAAAAGAGTCTGAATCTAGCAGCATACATTTGTTAATTGTTCCATTTTGCAGTAATCTAAGCATGAAAAAGTACAAGTGCCCTCTGTCTCTCTTATTGGTCATTTAGTGAGCTGCATAAAATTGAATATGGCAAGTTCTGATTCTTTGGGTTGTTGTTTGTTGAAAATGTGCATAAATGAAGCTATCAGAAATGTTCCTTTTAAATGAATATTGAATAGAAGGCAGTGGCATCTTTCCAATACGGTAATTTCTTCCTTAGTTAGAATGGCCTTAGTTAGAGGGGAAATCCTATTTCAGTGCCATTCTTTCCTCTTCTCATTTATGCCCAAAGCATATTGTATGTAGAGATATCGCATCATGGATCCAGTAATAGTTCTGCTGTAGACAATTTCCACCTGACTGCATTTCTATTACTGGGGCTAACCTTCAACTCAGGAACAGCATTCACAATTTATAGAGAATACAGGAAAAAAAAGAGGCCTTCCATATAAATCCAGAATTCTAAGTGTGTGAAGTATAAATGAATTGCATAACTAACTTTGAAAGTGAATATGAAATCCTTTTGTGTTTGATCCTTATGGGATGAATTGCTAGATTGTCACTAGCCGTGGAAGTTTTCTTGGATGTGCTCTTATTTTTCTTGTGTCATATGTTTGCAAGAAATTTCCCTGATATTTCCCCCAATGCATGGAGAATCAGATTATTTTGACGAGAAGAGGCTGAAGATTAGAAATCTAGTTAAATAAGAAGCAGTGGCAAAAACTAAAGGCTAGTTAATTTTGTTATCCTGGGTCTGGCAGACCAGAGACTGATTCAGCGAATCTGGCTCAAAGAAGCAGCATTAAAGAATACTATATTTAAGCAGACAGCATAAGGTAACGCGGAGCTGCCCATGGCAGATCTGGCTATTATTATTGGCTCTGTTAATAATGTGCTGTGTAACCTTTAACAAGTAAACTAACACATCTGTGGTCCTTTTCCTCATCTTTAAAAAGGTGATTTGAATTGTCTGATTTATAAGATTCCTTCAAACTCCAAGCTTTTCTATTTGAAAGGGGGACAGATTTAGTGAGCACATAGTAAAAATAATTTATCTGACTAGTGGGCAGACCTACTATATGTTCTCTGACTTTTTTCCTGTCCTGTCATACATGAGCAGGGCAACACTTATACATGACTGTTCTCAGCCAGAGGAAAAGAATGAAGATATTCACTAGGTTCTTTTAAATGCATAGTTTAGAAAAGTGAAGGTCTATATAAAACGTCATGTCATGACAGAAGTATAATGTAGCCTATAACCACATTGGGCTAGCTGTGGCTAAAAATTTCATCCATCCATCCTTTATTCATCCATTCACCGTTCATCTCATCCATCCATCCTTTATTCATCCATTCACCGTTCATCTCATCCATCCACCCATCTATCCATCCATCCATCCATCCATCTAACCATCCATCCTTCCATCCATCCATCCATCCATCCATCCATCCATCCATCCATCTGTCCTTCATCAATACTTGCATTCAACCGATATGTACTGCATACAAAATACATTCAGTTTTTATGTAAGTACTGAAAATACACTGGTCAACAAGACAGGCCTCTTTCTACTTCATGGAATGGTACTAAATAAACATACAATTAGTTAATTATACCTGTGAAAACTATTATTTAAGAAAATACAGAATAATAACAGTGTGTATAACCGGCAGCTTTTTCCTCTATAAGAAGCAGGACAGACATGACTAATCTCGTTATTCAAAGGAAGATGGAGATGCAAGTTGATTAAAAAGTCAAGAGTAACATTCACTTTTCAGTGTTCAACCATTTGCAAGACTGTATCATCACAACATTAACATTACTGGGTTCTGAATAACAAATCATTAAATTTAAAAAACTTCTCATGCCTGGCACGGCTTCCAAAGAGGTTTTGCGAAAGATTTTGCCCTTGTGAAGATAAACAGAACTACAGTAACCTTTAATATCAAATCAGTATTCCAAGTACACTAAGGCAATAAAGAAGAACAATAACAACTAAGTCCTGAAGGAAATAACAGATTCAGCCTTTATTTGGCAAAGAATGGCAGAGAATGGCTTGCAATTATAAAGCTATCAAGACTCCAAACCCATAAATTTAATTAAGAATGAGGACGGGTGAGTATTGAAATATTAATGAGGAGACTTTATTCTTCTTCTAATGAGATTATGCAATTATGACCCAAATATCCCTTTCTGGATTAGATTGACCAATTGTCTATCTGTTTTGTCTGGGACCTAGGGTATTTTCAGATGCAAAACTTAGTGCTAAAACCAGGAAAGTTTTGAACAAAGTGGGACAAGTTGGTTCCCTACATATCTTCTATAAAGTAACAATAATGTAAGATTCCTATGATATATGGTTCGGAACTACTTGATTTGTATTCTCTAAACACTTGGCAAGCCACGTGCTACCTACTCATTAGAAAAGGGCCTTTTAGAACCCACTACTAGGTTAATACAATTATGTTCTAAGCAGGGAGTATTTTGTCCAAAGTAGTATTAAGAACCAAACATGCATAAGCCCTAGTGAGTCTTTGCAGCCTGTATTTCCACCTTCACTGGCATCTGTACTAAATCAGCATCATTAGCAAATACCAAGACGCATCAGCTGGCTATCCTATTGCATACTTTCATTGGCACTGCAATCAGGTACCATTTGATTCTAGCTCCACTTCTTAGCCTACTCTATCCAAAGTTACTCAGCTACAAAAATATGAACACATTAGTTAACCTCTCTTAGCCTCAGTTTCCTCACCTTTAAAAAAAACTTTGCATTAAATTAATGCAGGATGGATTAAAGACTTAAATGTAAGACCTAACACCATAAAAACCCTAGAAGAAAACCTACGCAATACCATTCATGACATAGGCATGGGCAAGGACTTCATGACTAAAACACCAAAAGCAATGGCAACAAAAGCCAAAATTGACAAACGGGATCTAATTAAACTGAAGAGCTTCTGAACAGCAAAAGAAACTATCATCAGAGTGAACAGGCAACCTACAGAATGGGAGAAAATTTTTGCAATCTACCCATCTGACAAAGGGCTAATATCCAGAATCTACAAAGAACTTAAATTTACAAGAAAAAAACAAACCCATCAAAAAGTGGGCAAAGGATATGAACAGAGACTTCTCAAAAGCAGACATTTACGCAGCCAACAGACATATGAAAAAATGCTCATCATCACTGGTCATCAGAGAAATGCAAATCAAAACCACAATGAGATACCATCTCATGCCAGTTAGAATGGCAATCATTAAAACGTCAGCAAACAACTGATGCTGGAGAGGATGTGGAGAAATAGGAATGCTTTTACACTGTTGGTGGGAATGTAAATTAGTTCAAACATTATGAAAGACAGTGTGGTGATTCCTCAAGGATCTAAAACTAGAAATACCATTTGACCCAGCAATCCCATTACTGGGTATATACCCAAAGGATTATAAATCATGCTACTATAAAGACACATGCACACATATGTTTATTGCAGCACTATTCATAACAGCAAAGACTTGGAACCAACCCAAATGTCCATCAATGATAGACCAGATTAAGAAAATGTGGCACATATATACCATGGAATACTATGCAGCCATATAAAAGGATGAGTCCATGTCCTTTGCAGGGACATGGATGAAGCTGGAAACCATCATTCTAAGCAAATTATCACAAGGACAGAAAACCAAACACCGCATGTTCTCACTCATAGGCACGAGTTGAACAATAAGAACACATGGACACAGGGTGGGGAACAACACACACTGGGGCCTGTCGGGGGGTGAGGGGCTGGGGAAGGGATAGCATTAGTAGAAATACCTAATGTAAATTATGAGTTGATGGGTGCAGCAAACCAACATGGCACATGTATACCTATGTAACTAACCTGCACGTTGTGCACGTGTACCCTAGAACTTAAAGTATAATAATAATAATAAAAATACTTTGCAGTTAATTGTCACAAGTGAAACAAAGTCTCCCATGCCTTGGGTTGTATTTGATAGATAAAGATAACAGCACAAAGTTGTCAGCTAAGTCTTTTATATGCATTACATGACTATATGGACTGATTTGTTTATTTTTTCAAGCAATTCTATGAGTTATGCATTTTTATTTTTTATATGTGTATGCATATGTGTACACTCTCTCACAAACACATATATATACTTAAATGAATAATTTGCTAATTTATCCATGTAACTCATATTTATAGAGTAATGGTCCACTACCCTCTAATTACCTTTCAGAATGTGCTAACGAACAAACAATATAAGTATATTTTAAACAAGAATGACACATAAGCTTTTGTTTGTAGCCATCATGTATCAAGCACTAAAATCAACATTTTCTTCATAATAGTCACTAAGTTATGGAATATTCCTAGTTTGTTCCTTTAAGCATTTACAATTTCTGGTTTTCTCTTAAGCCTCTCAGGGTAGTTTTAGTTTCCTAGTTCCAGACTAGGAAGATATTCTTAATTTTGCTTAGTCTAAGGCAGACGGTCATCCATGGACAACAACTGAAATGACCATGCAGTTCAAGATGGCATGAAACGGAACCTAGGGATTATGTGCTCACAGGTGATGTAGGTGATGGAAGAAGGAGCCAAGGTGGGTGGATCACCTGAAGTCAGAAGTTCGAGACTAGCCTGGCCAACAAGGTGAAACCCCATTTCTACTAAAAATACAAAAAATTAGCCAGGCGTGACATGGTGGCAGGCGCCTATAATTCCCAGCTACTCAGGAGGCTGAGGCAGGAGAATCTCTTGAACCCGGGAGGCGGAGGTTTCAGTGAGCCAAGATCGCACTCCTGCACTCCAGCCTGGGTGACAGAGCAAGACTCCGTCTCAAAAACAAAAAACAAAACAAAACAAAACTAGAAGGAGAGTGTATAGATAAGTGTTGAATGTCAACATTTGAGCTTTCTCAACAGAATCAAGAGGGACGACACCTTCTAATGAGTTTACTATGGCAGTTGCCTTCAAATAAGAGGAAATATCAGAATTTCTTGCAAGGGGACAGGAAGTGTCTACTGAATCTGTGTTCTACTGCCCATTCTTGGCAGGCAAACGTTTCCTGGAAAAATAGTTACATAAACAATCTCAGAATCAGGATTCCTAGATTTTATCAGTCTTTGACCACTTACATGCGATAGTAGACATGGGGTTTTCCACATTTTTCTAGACCAGATTTCCTTCTAATAGTTTGGGTGACAAAATTGATATGCAACTACATGACGTATTTCTCACACCAACTTACCCAGGGGAATTAATATTTTTCAAATAAGAGGAATGATAGCTCAATTTTGCTCTTTGTTGGTAAGAATCCACCAGCTATGATATGCACCATCTGACAACCATATGGTAGTAGAGATATTGAAAACAATAACATTTCCAGGAGAATGACCAGAACGATTCAGAAAAACCAAGCATTTGAGGATTTGGAGGAGAAAATAATACTGTTGGGATTTGAATGAGACAAGTGAGGTGGGCACACGCTAGATATAATTTATGAGATATTTGAAAATCGTCACTATCTATTTACTAGTTCTTTAACTTTCTTCTAAAAGACAAAACCAGTCATTAGAAGATAAAATAAAATTACCTCCCCAAATTTTCAAATGTGTTCAAAACTAGAACAGCATATCTTATGTACAAATGAGTTTCTATTATGTGAACACTTCAAGCAAGAATGTCACGTGAAGTATTTCCAAATATTGTTTGTACTATGTCTGTGGTTTATACTTACATTTACAAGGTGAGTAGATCCAGGTTAAGTTAAATGGTGCTCCTTAAAATATAATAATATATTATTGAATGTTATTGGAAAACACTGGGTTAAATTCAGGTGGACTTTTTTATTGCAGGACTTATCAGAACACTTCAGATAATATTGTACATCTCCAAGCAATGAGTGGAAAGAGAGGGATATGAATAAAAATAATCTCAAAATTCATAGATCTGAGATCCCAAGATATTTTTTGCCTTCTCATTAACCTTGCTCAAAATAATTTTTTAAAAATGTGTTGCTTTGCAATGTAGAATATTAAAGAATAAAAATAAATACAAATAAGTTCTAGATAAGTCATGGGGTTACCCATTCATGTAACTGAAGGCTGCTATGAATAATCCTTTTCTACTATCAGTGAGTCAGTTGACATGGACCAGTCCCTGACCTGTTTGCTCTCAGATCTAATTCCTTACCCTTTGTCCATTCTGCTCTGGGTGACAGGAAAGCTGTTCTCTGAAGGTTCTCAGATTAGCTAACTTCTGGGTAGGTTAAGCCAACAGAAGAGGTTGGTGAGAAACTGGAAGACAGGAGAAATAGGAAATCCAAATGTATTCATCTTCTTTCTCTGCCTCAGCCTGGATCTGGAGAGCATCAAAATTACATTCGTGGTTCTAGCTGCCTTCAAACTATGGTTCTAGCCCTTGGAATCTGGTAATTCTGCCCCTCCCTTGGTACCTCCTGCCTAGGGTGGTAAAGGCTTTTGTCAGTCTCTGAGTTGCACCAATCTTCTCGTGGCTTCTTAGCAATTCTATCACCCATGTAATAAATTTTCCCATTGTTGTATCCCCTTGACTTACATACTTTTTTTTTTTCTTTTTTTGAGACAGAGTCTTGCTCTGTTACCCAGGCTAGAGTGCAATGGCACGATCTCAGCTCACTGCAACCTCTGCCTCTGGGTTCAAGGGATTCTCCCGCCTCAGCCTCCTGAGTAGCTGGCACCTGCCATCATGCCTAGCTAATTTTTGTATTTTTGTAGAGACGGGGTTTCATCATGTTGGCCAGGCTGGTCTTGAACTCCTGACCTCCTGACCTCAGGTGCTCCACCCGCCTCGGCCTCCCAAACTGCTGGGATTACAGGCGTGAGCCACTGCACCCATCCTACATGCTTTTTATGGTTTCTGTTTCCCTGAATAGATCCTGACAAAAATAAGGATCTACATTTAAGATGCATAATTTTTTATATTAATGCATTATTTTTCTCAGAGAATCCCAGAGATGAAAAGGACCTTAGAGATTGCTGAGCCAAACGGCCAGACTCCAATGTGTGGTGGGGAAGGGGAGAGTTCCAAATGGGTAGGGTTGTGAAACTCCTACCCTTGCTTCTGCAAAATCACTGTAAATATGTACTGGTTTTGTTCAGACAAAAAGTATTCCATAGATATATTTGCTTTCCCAATATTACAGAAAAATCTCAGATAAGGATTAACTTTTAGTACAATTCACTTTCTACTACATTCTTTCAGATTCAGCAATCTTTTATTAAACAGATCCAGCTCTTTTATTTTCTCCCCAAGCATTGTAAGGGACATCACCCACATTGTTTTGCTTTATCTTCTCATCAACCCTTTGAAGGTGGAAGCAGTATTCAGAAATTGACGTATGAAGTGGCTTGCCTACATCTACACAGTAAATAAGCATCCAAAACCAGATTTAAACCCCAAATTAAGCTCTTTCCACAACAAGGTCCTGCTTTCCTTGATGATTAAATCCTTATCTGATCTTAAAGTTGCAAGAAGAGTTTTAGGAAGTAAAATGATGAATTTAATTGTGGAGATGTCAAATAGAAAGCAGGTGAATGTGCCTTTTAGCAAGACTTTAATTAATCTGATGTCTGATCTACCCTGATACAGTAACTTTTGCCAACTTTGTTGTTTTGGTTCAAAAAGTGTCTTATAAAATATCCATTCCCTAAGCACAGGATGGATACTAGCACCAATAAACTTTCCTCTTGCCTACTACTTAGAATATGCTTTGCTCACAAATCATTCCATCCAAGTCTCACAATAAATATTAATATTATAGCCATCACCATCATCCTCTCCAAAATAAGTCAGTGTGCAAACTTTGTTTCACGAGGGAAAGGAGAGACAAAAATCTTTAACAGACTCACATATGGAAGGGAAAAACCAATTAAAGATTATCTCTGAACCAGGAATGCCAATATGAGATGAGGTGCATAACTAATCAGCCCAAGACATACAACAGGTGAAGTGATGAAAATATGATTGTGAGAAACGCAACAACGGTCTGATGTGCATAATTCATTTTTCCCATGGAGCCTCTGCCCATCTGCTGTGGCTCAATTGAATATCAGAAAATGGAAAGAGGCCATCACTCATTAACTCGCCAAACTCCTTCAGGGCCCAGCGTCTCCTCCATTTTGTTTTTGTTCTTGTACCAAAGACTTAGAAACCACTAATATTACTCTATGGGTTTCTGAACTTTTCAGGCTAGAACCTCATCAGCTTCTCTTCTAAAGGGAGCAGAGGTGTGGAGTGCTTTATACACAAAGCAAAGAGAGTTTAACATTTGTTAAAGCTCTGAAGAGCTGCCTTCTTCTCTGCTATGATGGATTAAAATCATGAAAACAGGAGCCTTAATCCTATTGTCCTTGGAAATAATCCTCTCAGGCTTTATTTTTCCTATACCTGCCTAGACTCATGCAGGTTTCAACAGTGTTTCCATTTGGCCTTTCTAGTCGTTGCTCAAAAGAATTTCTGAACTTTCAGGCACACATGGAATGAGTAGATGCTTTCAATCTACTTCTTTATAATATATGGGACCTTTTTAAAAAAGTATTTATCAAATGATGCTTTGTATTGAGATGTCCTTAGTTAATTACCTATTTGTATTTTAGGAGCAGTGTGTATTTCTCTCATTCAGCCATGTATTCACTTAATGACTACATAATGAATGCCTTCTGTGCCAAGGTAGGTATTAGGGGTTCAGTAAACGCTAAAACCCAGTTCCTTTCTTTTATTTATTTATTTTTTTTGAGACGGTGTCTCGCTCTGTTGCCCAGGCTGGAGTGCAGTGGCACGATATCCGCTCACTGCAAGCTCCGCCTCCCGGGTTCACGCCATTGTCCTGCCTCAGCCTCCTGAGTAGCTGGAACTACAGGCACCTGCCACCACGCCCGGCTAATTTTTTTTTTTTTTTTTTTGCTTTTTTAGTAGCGACAGGGTTTCACCTTGTTAGCCAGGATGGTCTCGATCTCCTGACCTCGTGATCTGCCTGCTTCGGCCTCCCAAAGTGCTGGGATTACAGGCGTGAGCCACCACGCCCAGCCCCCAGTTCCTTTCTTTAATGAGCTCAAGACCTGTTTGTTGCCTGTTATTTATAGTAATGCCATAACAAGAATGTACATTATTTTCCCTCTCGGATGTCCTCTCCAAATCCCTGAGTCCTGTTCCCATTCTTCAAGCTCTGTGTAAACTCCCTGAGAACGGTGACTGTGTCTGATTTTACTCATGAGTTATCTCTAGTCCAAATAGTGCCTGTCACAAAATAGGCATTCAGTAAATATTTGAATAACTTTATTCATTTATTGGAAAAAAATACGCTTTATGAAGCCAAATGGCATCTACTTCTTGGGACTCTGCTTTACTTTGACAAACCATTGGTATTAAATGCTTCTCAGAATGCATAATTAATATTTATCTATATTTACTTATTCATTTATTGACACAGGGTCTCACCCTCTAACCCAGGCTCACTGCAGCCTCGAACTCCTAGGCTCAAGTGATCCTCCCACCTCTGCCTCTCGAGTAGCTGGGACCACAGGTGTGCACCACCCCCTTAGCTAATTTTTATTTTTTATGTTTAAAAAAATTTTGTAGTCATGGGGTCTCCTTATGTTGTCCAGGCTGGTCTCAAACTCCTGGGCTCAAGTGATTCTCCCACCTCAGCTTCCCAAAATGTTGGGGTTAGAAGTGTGAGCCATGGCTCCCTGCCTATGTTTAGAAACCAGCTGGTGTTATAAAATGTGCACTGTTTGAGGGCAGGGACACATCTTAAACATATTGGTAATTCCTTTATTCTTAAGTGCATTGTTAATGCTCCCTGCTTTTTTTATTGTTGTTTGATGGATTTTCTGTCTGGCCAGTGGAAAAGCAAACATCATTGTCTAATAGAATTATGAATAAAATGCCTTCTTAGCAACAATTTTTCTTTTGCTAAAAATCTAAGAGAATACAAGAATACTTAAGAATGTTAATAAGAATTTATAATTTATATTATATTCTTATTAAATACTACATTTAATAAGAATATTTAAATATCAACATTGTCCTGTGAGTTTTATAAATCTGTATAGAAACATTTTGATTGTGACATTACCCTTTTAATGGGTTATTAACGATTAAGAATTCTGTATCCATTGGATTATTCATCAGTGGACTCATTTTCCAAGTTTTCCCTATTAGAAATATCAGAATACGCATGATTGTTTTATTTTTTCTCCATTGTCACTATGATCAATCTATTTTTAAAAAATTAAAATTCAAATCAATTTTTGTCCTCAAAAGAAAAAAAATATGAAAGAATGAAAGGGTGTGAGAGAATAGCTTTGGATAAAAAAATTGGTACTGCATTTTGTGGATATGCATACCTTGAAATATAAAACCTACTTCTTTTCCTTGGGGACTCTTCCTTAAATCCAAGAGGGTTGGCCAGAGTGCACAACCTTTGGTTCCAACAGGATAGTAGCCAAATGTCATGGTTTACCTATAGTTTCCAAAAGCAGATTAGAAATATAAAGACCTTAGGAGCTGCTAGTGGAATGCGAAAATTATGTAGCTTCGAGGATTATATTTAAAAATGTCTACCAAGATTCTTAAGAATGTTAGCTCATCTGAAATTGGAAGGCTGTGAGTTCTGCTTTCCTGCCAGAAATCTTAATAAACTGAAACCATTGGCATGGCCCACAAATAATAAACAAGATTAGCAGAAGTTACACATCCTACTCATTATGGTTTTGTTGAAGAGTCACTCAATTGAGAGAACAATATTACAGGAGTTATTTACACTGATGTGAATCATTTGGTCCATAAACAAATGAGTAATGACTGTTAGTCCAGGAGATTAAAAACTAAGCAGATGTTTCACAAGAATAAAATTAGTCTGGGGGAGGAAACAAAAATAAATTCATGTTCAACATTGGCTTGCAGAGTTGAATGGTGTTAGAGAACTTGTGTTTGTTGCATGGGACAAGGGAGCAATTTTGCCATTTTGCTCAGGGTCCTTGATAAAGAAGTTTCAAAGGTCTTTTTTGAAAGATCATTTTTTAAACAAGGAAGTAGCTACTGAGAAAACAGGTCCTCAAGCAACTCACCACCAACTACCCCCTTTGGAAAAGGCTGCCCAGCATCTTTTGGATGGATTGAAATTTATGGATTGGTGGTGTATTTTATTGGGCTCCATGCAAATTATTGATCCATGAACCCAAGACAGTAGGTAATGCTATATCCTATAACCCTTTTATGCTACCCATCGATAAATTAGAAACTTTCCTCAGGATTTTGGAGAAAGATGAACAATAGGAAAGTGAAGTCAAGAAAAGAAGAGACTCTTCCAATGGAACAGATCAAGAGAATTACTCTGACACAATGTGGTTAGAGTAGACGATTCATAAGGGCCCTAAAGTTGGTGATTGTGTTTCAAAAAATCATGAATTGATTGTCTACAATAAGCATTGCATTAAACTAAATACTGATAATGCAGAGATTCACTCCCTTTCACCAAGGAATTTACTGTCTTATTGAAAGTACTTCACAGCTTTGTAATGAGATGTTCTGATTCTGCATCTCTGGGCTTCCAAGACCGACTCTTACTTAGAACCCTGTTAAGTGTTAGTCACTTAGTTCAAGATTATTACTGATGCTGAAATGAGGTGAGGATGTGGATTTACATTGTCAAAGCAGCTGATGCTTAATTTTGGAATTTCACATGCTTTTTTTTTTTTTTTTACAGGAATATAACTACTCATTTATTAACACCAAGTCCTGAAGATATGGCATTCTTTTACTCAATTTTCATGATCATCACATACCTTAGTGAAAAATTAAAATCATGATGTTTCAGTTAAGGAATCTAAGATGCTGTGCTTAACAAAATTGCTGAAGTTACCACAAATGTAAGTAAAAGACCAGGATTAAACAATCCAGGTAGGTTTGAGTCCAATCCAGTGTTTTTTCCACAGTTTCAATGTTAGAGTATTTCAAGGTGATCAAGGTATGACTCAAATGGGGAGCTTTTAAAATTATACATACTTAAACTGCATCCTTGTGATACTCTTATACTATTATTAAAATATACTTCATTTCGGCCAGGCACGATGGCTCATGCCTGTAATTCCAGCACTTTTGGAGGCCGAGGCAGGTGGATCACATGGTCAGGAGTTCAAGACCAGCCTGGCCAAGATGGTGAAACCCCGTCTCTACTAAAAATACAAAAAATACAAAATAAAATATACCTCTTTTTTAAAAAAGCAAGCATTTAAAAATAATTTACTCTTTATTAAAGGTGTACTGGCTTGGTGTTGTACAGGTTTTAGATTTCTTAACCTAGGCACACTATTTGAAAATTATCCAACTATGCAAACTAGAATATTCATTGCAATGTCCCAATTAAGAATATAACATTCTTCTCAACGTAATTTAAATAAGCCTTTTAGTTAAGCTCTAAAACTGCATGAATATTGGAAAATTTTGAATGCATTTGCTAATATGCTGATTACATAATCAATGATACTGATCATGTAGTAGGATAAATTGCCATTGACTTTGAACTGCCTTCAAATTCCCCAAACATAAATTACCATACATTTTTAATTTGAACTAACTTTGTTTCTGGAAAAAGCATCAGAGACTACCATTTTGTCTATGTAGTTATTTGTAATTCATTGACAATTAGTGTTCTTAATATATTAGATGAAATCTTTCAGCTGAACATTTTCCTGCAAAAAAATATCTAGGACAGACTTCCGCTTTCCCCACTACACATTTTGTGCTTATTCCACACCCGATAATCTCCCCTCCACCCCATTCCTCACATTTTCTGTCCTAATAAGTTCTGTCTTGTGTGTGTTCAAACAACACATCCTAAAAATTTATTGCCTGCCAGTGCTGGTTCTGGTATATAATCTGTGACTAATATATTCTTATAGACAGAAAAGAAGAAAAAATAAGGAAAATATAATATTAATTATACTAATGCTAATGGTAACAATAATAGCAGCTAACATTTATTTATACTTACTTTATTAACAGCTTTATAACAGTCATACTGTCAAGGACCTCCAGCTAAAACCACCAAGTAAATATCTATGGTTCAACAAGTTGTATTTATTACTCACAGCAAAAGACATGGTGTGTGGTTTCTCACACCACGAGGAGCCATGAAATATCTCAGTAATAACCTGTTAAGAGGGATTTATGATAGGATTTGTGCTTTGGTTGGGTTGTAGCAGATCCAAAAAAGAAGGGCCTTGCTCTTTGTTAGGAATGTCAGAGAGTGGGGATGGTTCTATGCTTGAGCATTTCATCAACTCCTGTGTGTAGGGAAGGTCAAATAGAGGGAGGCTAAAGCTGTAATTGGGAAGAAGAAAAAAAAAAAAAACAGCAGCAGTCAGTCACACTAGCTGGGAGATGGAGTTGTTTGGTATTTTGTGGCTTGGATAATATTCATATTTTGTCAGTTTTTAGACTTGATTATGGAGGGTCTTGTTTTCATCTTGATCCATCATGACCACAGTGTTCTTGTCTGATGTTGATATTCTATGAAATCATTTATTTTCAACACTAGAAGAGCAACTCCTAGCAGTGAGTGCTGAGACAACTTGTAGGTGATAGTAGCAGTATAGCTTCTTATGTTAGAGACTGCTTTTCTCTTTCTCAGTGCATACTGTTTCATTAACCAACAATGCAATCATTTTTATACTATTATCATCTCCATTCTACTGGTGAGATCAATGAAAGTCAGATGGGTCATGTAACTTGCCCGAGGATGCTGTGAAAATAACTGGACCCCGTATTTGAACATTAGGCTGTGTGCATCCCTGATTCCAGTGGCCACACTGAATTAAACTAAACTCTCCATAAATATACATATGAGAGAATTAATAATTTCATTCTTCCCTTTTAAGCCAAGTTATTACCGTAAGACTACAAATATTAAAAAGTGTTCTCAGTCAGCCCCAAGTAGTTAGGTGGCTGAGGTGGGAGGATGGCTTGAGCCCAGAAGTTTTCAAGGCTGCAGTGAGCTATGATCACACTACTGCATGTCAACCTAGGCAACAGAGTGAGACTATCTCTTTTTTAAAAAAGTGTTCTTGTCTAGATCCACTGATGTTGTCCAACATTTCAAATTTAGCCCTTTTTTTCCCCTCATTTCTCCTTCACAATGTTTTGGTTTATAAAGTTATTATATTAGTAGTTTTCTCTGTAGTGTTGGTAGGGATACTGATTCAAAGTATGTTATTCTCATGCCTTAAGGCCGAAATACGGAAACCATGTAAATGTTTCTAGGCAGAGCCACCCAAATCCATAAATAGGTAAAGCTTCCAACCTTAAAAAAATATGAGCAGAGAAGCTTTCTTAACTAATTCCCGCAACAACGTCTGAGGTGTTTAAGGATATAAGGGATTGGTTCACAACTCCAATCACAGCAGCTCAACACACAATATAGCTTCTCATGACTTCCTTTTATATAGGTTGGCTTTATCTTTCCATCTAGAATTCAAGCACTTTAGGAACAACTCAGAACCATGCAGCTCCAGATTCCATACCTTTAACATAAAAGAGCATTGATAGTTTCACCCAAAAGTTGACTACTTTGAATCAAAAAATAATATGTTATTTTACTTTTACAACCATATCACATTTTGACAGAATTACATCATGTGCTAAGCACATTGCAGAAAGTCTATATATTATCAGAGATAAACTACTAGTTTCACAACATGACTGCAAATTCTTTGACACTCTTCCACATGAGAAATGTGGTAAGCCCCATCCCTTGGGATTTGGACAGGCTGATGACTGCTTTAAACATTAAAATATGGCAGAAATGATACAATGTGACTTCTGAGGTTGCTTCATTAAAGACCATGTAGCTTCTTCCTTGTTTGCTGGAAAACTCATCCCTGAATCCCTGAGTCACCACATGGCAAGTCCACTGACTCCAAGATAATCCTGATTGGAGAGATGCACCAACTCTGACGAGCCCTGAACATTTGAATGAAGCTGTCCCGGGCCCTTTGGTCATTTGCCATCTTAAAACCATTGACCAACATCTGACAGCACCATGTAGACAGAAGAATCACTCAACCAAGCCCTGACTGAATTTCTAACCAACAAAATCACAGCATGCAATAAAATGGTTATTGTTTTGTTATGGTTTCATATACAGAAATAGGTCACTGGAACAAATACATTTACCTCTGAAGAAGTGACAGAGGCAAGGAGTTTCACATGGCCAGAGAAATCATTTTTTGTCTATTATTTTCTGGTTAATTAAAATAAACTTCAGTCTTTTTTGCAAATGCAGTTCACCATGAACAGGAATGTGTGTTTTTTTCCCCCCAAAGAAATACAAATGTGTGGATGTGTTCAGAGGAAAACAGGTATTCCTTTAAATTATTTTATGTAAAATATACCAACTGTTATTCATTTATTCAGTCACTCAATCAATAAACCATTCTTCACTGCAGAGAATATATTTTAATTTGGGCTTTACTAGGTGCCAGGCACTGTGCTAAGCACTAAGCCTACAATAGTGAGAAATGCACATGATTTCTCCCCAAGGATTTTGTAGTTTGGAGGAAAAATACAAACATTTGAAGAATTCTGTTATTTTCTGGGAGATACTTACAGTCATTATTTTTTAATCTGTTCAGTCATGTGTCTTAATTTCTGGGTTAAAATGTCAGCATAGAAACACATTTAAGTATCATGGATTACATCAAATAATGAACATGAGAGTGATTTTAGATAGCAAGAAGTGATGTCAGTAGTAATACCCACAATTTTCTTGATCACAAAGATATGGTTACATGATAAAAATTGAATTACCTAATGTAAAATTTACTAAGTGTTAGGTTAGTGTCAATAGGTTTCCCACATACATCCATACTTTGTTTCATAAACTTTTTGTCAAATGTGTCCAGTAATTTTTGATTTAAAAAAACTCTGAAAACCTTGTCAGTCAATTGTCACTAAATCCATACATTTTTTGTCTTTGGAACTGGAAATACGTAAATTCAAATGAAAATCATAATTGATCCCATTCTTGAAGTTCAGTTTGTAAAAAATACATTAGGAAAATATGCTTTTTGTCCTAACAAAATATAACTCTACATTTGACTACTAGTTACTAAAACTCTGTAAACCTTATAACATTACAATGATTTATCCTAAATAATCAAGATTTCTGCTGAGTGACAATAACTTTTTAAATAAGTAATGTCTCACTGTGAATGGTTAGAACATAGGGATAAATAGAAGTGTTTACAGAGCCACGAGGGGATCACAAATATAGTATGATGAATGATGAAACAAAGGTCAACTAGACTGATAAGAAGGCCAGAAGAGGCATTGAAGGAAATCCTAATGTGAATCATTCACAAATTCTATGCAGGATCATAATGTGGGACGCGTGAATTGATTTGTGGCTACATATGCTTACACACTGGTGCTGTGAACCACTATTTAAATAAATGTGCAAACTCATTCGGCATGTGGTACATAAAATGATTTCAGATAATAGCACAGCAAAATATAAAATTAAATACTATATTGAGAAAGTCATCTTCCTTTCAATAAACCTTTCACCCCTTTTGAATACATCAAAAATTTCAGAAGTTTGACCTAAACTTCTAGGACTTGCTGAATCTAACAGAGAGTAGGTTTACGGTGCAAAGCCCGCATACAAGAACATTGCCTTGTTAGAATATAATTGTATGGTTGCTTTTCCTTTGTATTTATTTTTATAACTATCTTAATTTTTTTGTGTGTCAAATGACACTGATTTTTTTTTCATTCGTAATTATAGAAAAACAGGCTTTCCAGACTGCAGAAAAACTTCTTCTGAAGACTTAATGAGACACACATAGTCACTGCCTGAGCTTTCTGCCCCTGAATAAAGATATCTTCTTATAGGGTCTGAATTAGACTTCACAATGGAATTCATCAGCAAATATTGGTGTCTACATCTTTAAAATGTGTCTGGATTCTAATCCTCACGATTTCAACCACAACCTCCATTGCCAGAGCCACCATCATCTCTCACCTCAATTATAGCAACAGCTTCTAACTGCTCTGTCAGTTTCTGCTTCTTCCCAAACATTCCATTCTCAAAACAGCAACCAAAGTGTTGCATTAAAAATATCATTGGATCAGCAGGGCACAGTGACTCACGCCTGTAATCCCAGCACTTTGGGAGGCCAAGGAGGGCGGATCATGAGGTCAGGAGTTCAAGACCAGCCTGACCAATAAGGTGAAACCCCGTCTCTACTGAAAATACAAAAATTAGCTGGACATGGTGGCTCACGTCTGTAGTCCCAGCTACTCAGGAGGCTGAGACAGGAGAATCGCTTGAACCCAGGAGGCAGAGGTTGCAGTGAGCTGAGATCATACCACAACACTCCAGCCTGGGTGACAGGCAAAGACTCTGTCTCAAAACAAACAAACAAACAAACAAACAAACAAAGCCATCCAATCATGTAGCTGTCCCAGTTAGAATCCTCCAACATCTCACCATTTTACTCAGAATGAAAGTTGTTCTGCTTGCAATGCCATGTTAAGATCTGGCTGATGGTTTTCTACTTGATCATCTGTTATAAATCTCATCTTGCACCCAACCCCTGGCTGCTGTAGAGTTGTTCCTTGAACATCCTTGGCACCATCTCTTCTCAGATCCATTGCATTTGTTGTTCCTACTGCCTGGGACGCTTTACCCTTAATACTTTTAAACAGCATATCCCTTCCTCTCCTTGCTTAAATTCATCTTTTCAAAGATCCCTGCCCTGACTACTTTTTAAAGATTACGACACCTCTATATCCATCCTGAACCCACCACCTTGGCATTTTAGTCCCAATTATCTACTTGGCTTCCCTCCCTTGTTCTTACCTCCCTATAGCTTAATATGTAATATGTAATTTTCTTATGTGATTTATTTTCTATCTTCCAACCAAAGAGAGAATTTATTTTTCTTTTACTTTTTTTTTTTTATTTTTTTTAACTGCTGCATCCAAACTGCCTTGATTAGTGCTAGGTACAACAAATATAAATATTTTTCAAATCAATGAATGAAGAATACATGGATATTTATAAACATCTGAAAAGTAAGGGCATAGATTACTAGCGTAAGTTCTCCTGAAATGGCAACTTAATCTTCATGGTTAAAAATGCAGCAGAACGTTAAGTATTCAGCTCTGTCAGGTCTGGAGAAAACATATCTTTCCAAGGACAATTTTAGTACTAGCTGATGCCACCCCTGGAATCCCAGGATAAAGGGTGCCTGCCATGTTGAGATAAGCTACATTTATGCCTGCCATTTGGGGACACCTCCATTCTGAAGAGTCTTTGTATTCTTTTTTTTTTTTTTTTTGAGACGGAGTCTCACTCTGTCTCCCAGGCTGGAGTGCAGTGGCGCGATCTCGGCTCACTGCAAGCTCTGCCTCCCGGGTTCACGCCATTCTCGGTCTCAGCCTCCCAAGTAGCTGGGACTACAGGCGCCCGCCACCACGCCCGGCTAATTTGTTTGTTTGTTTGTTTGTATTTTTAGTAGAGATGGGATTTCACCGTATTAGCCAGGATGGTCTCGATCTCCTGACCTCGTGATCCACCTGCCTCAGCCTCCCAAAGTGCTGGGATTACAGGCGTGAGCCACCGGAGTCTTTGTATTCTTAACTAGGTAAGTAGGTATTAGTAATTTAGCCTTACCTAGGTGAGTGTGTGTGCGTGCCTCTAACCAAAGTATTATCACAAGGATGCCTTAGTGGTAGTAAAATTATTAAATCAATTAATTTAAAAGAACTATTTATAACAAGTTACCATCTAGATAGGTTAAAATCCATGGAGATTTGTACTAAAGACTCATATGTAGAAAACTCTTCTCAGATGATGTAGATTACTTGGCAGGAAATGAGCTAGGGATTCTGCTGTCAATAGGAGAAAAAAAGAAACAAAACAGATCTCATTCAGTAGAGAATGGCTCATTTGGGATACTCAGAACTTACCACATAAACAGTATTATGCAGGTTAGTGTTTGGATACCCTTCTTTCAAAAGATGATTAAAGTGATAAAAATAAAATGGAAAGATGATTTATTAAGACAAAGTGTCAAATAAGCCTAACCCCTTGCACCACTTACTTCCTCAGTCTCCATATAGCTCTATTGTTCCTAAGAACATTATATATCTTCGAGAAGTTTGAACGCTAATACAAATGTTTTTCACAAAATTAGATTATGTTTCTTTACTAGATATTGTCTTTTTTTTAATTTTTGAGATAAGTTTATCATCATTATAATAGCTAATGTATTTGTGAAATTAGAATGATATATTTCCGGTCTTTATAACATTAATACAATCTTCAAAAATATTAACGCTTTGTCTATTCAATTCCTCACTAGTTCTCAAAGCCCAGGTTTTGTTATTTCTCATAAAGAAACCAAAATCCTGTGGTTCAGTCCTGGATTTACACAGCCCAAATGACAGGATACTGAAGCAAGCAAGAGAGAGAAGCTGATCACTCATCCACTCCATCATCACCATGCTCTTAAAGCTCTCTGTGTTTTTCATTTCACATCGTGTATCAGTAAAAATGTGGCAATGACAAGGTAATGGAAGGATGATTAGCTTTAATGTACTCCCTTTCATGTTTGTAGTTAGAGCAAATATGAACTAATTTATACCCTCAGCTATTTTTCTTTTCTGTGTATATTGTAACAAATATGAAAATTGCTGGTGTAAGTGCAATCGATCAATTGAGATAAATGCAAGTCGAGTTCAATGACTCTTTAACAAATTTTCATAAGGCAACCTTTCTTGGTAAAAACTGTTAGTAATTTTTATGCCACCATTAAGACTGTAGATTCCTGGGAACTCCAGGTTCTGGTAGACAACATGGATTTTTTGATTAAACAAGTGACTCAAATAGCAGCAAATCAAAATAGCAAACAAACAAACAATTGGGTGGCATAGAACAAAGAAATCACAGAGCTTGCATTTGATTTTAAAGATGCATTTTAGTTTATAAACAGAACAGTTAGTCAATATTTTTGAGGATTTGGACAATCATAAGATTGTGCAGCCAGTAAGTTCTGAATAACTCTAAATGAAATACACCTACAAATTATTCACTATTCTATTTGGGGTTTTATTTCTCCATGCTCTTTAAATAGTATGAAATGCAAACAGAATGACTAATAGAAACTTCATAAAGTTTAATAATATATTTAATATATTAACAATAAAGGTACCAAGTTCATTTTGAAGGTATATGCAAATATAAATTGGCTCAAGGTTTCCACTAATAGAAATTATATATATGTATATTTCCCTAAAAAATCTAATTTAAGGCAGATATATCGATATAGGGCTTTGTTAGAACTCCATGTTTTGTTAAAGTAATAAACATTAAACAACATTTTGTGAGGTCTCTAATGTTAACCTTGAATGATAGAATGATGAGGGCAAGAATAAGCTATCAATAACACAAAGTTTCATTTGAAAAATCTCATATTTTTAGATACTATTTCACTTTGTGATACGATGTGTTGGAATAAAAAAAAGGATGGAAAGTTTATTGTCCTTCCAAGAATAACAGACATTTATATTTTGGAAAGATGAGTTGTCTTTCAAACTTCACCAAGGAATTATAAAGAGTTATGTCAGAACATGGCATGTAAATTGAGGTGTGTATCTAATATAAAAACCATTCTACTGAAACTAATTTCCCAATGCAACATTCTAGGAAATGGTAATAAATATCCTGTTTTGGTTTAGGGAGAAAATAAGGGGAAATTTGGAAATAAAGATGTATTATAAAACTTTTCTTGATTTTTTTCCTGATTTAATAATGTATTCTAATTTTATTATCATTAAAATATATACTTTTATGTTTATGAATAATTGAAAACCAAAGCCTTAGATACCTAAGGTTTGGATTAGATACCTAATCCAAACACATATACCATCTAGAAACATACAAAACTCAAAAGCACTTAGAGATACCTCAACAAATAATAGTCCTTGCTTAATTTCTCATACTTTGCTCAAATAGCTAAAAATGAACATAGAATTTTCAGCTCCAACATCTGAAGATTTTGGAAGTCAACGCTCACAAACCTACAAGACAAAGTTAGTCAAACTTATAATCAATGACGTTTCTTGGACCTATCAAAGATGTGACATTGCAGGAAAAAATACCACCCCAATTTCTGGAAAGACAGGTACATCCAGAAAGACATAGCTGAGATTTGTTTACATGGAGCAGAAGCCACTGAAGGCACAAACTGGTAGAAACATTTCCATGGTAATTTTGACAAATTGCTAGAGGCTGACCATGGAGTAGAGTGAGTGAGAAGCTCCTGGTGGCTGCAGTCTTGGAGGGATACACTTTTATAGAATTTATCCCAAGAAACTCCACTAGGTTCTCACAGTGAAGATCTGAGGAAGATAATCACAGGGCTCTGGCAAGACGAGGAAAGACCAGTCATGTGACACACACACACCAAGTCTTCCTTATAACAAAGGCCAAATCTCCAAGGATTAAATATTTTCCCAGAGCCTTATCTCACTTAGAAAAAGGAAGTTTGTCCTACTTTATCCCTATCTTGCATTTTTGTCTCACCTATGGTGAAGAAAAAGAAACAACATAGTCAACAGGACTCAGAACTTCAAGGAGATAGACTGGGAATCCTGCACACAAGAAAGGGATGGCATGGTGAGGAGAGAATGCTATGACACTGAATGCTTGCAAAGGTCATAGACCCAAGATATAGCCCCAATAAAATCCTGAGATTTTATTGTAAGATTGTGGAATAGCCCCCTTTCCCCACCTCTGACCACATGCCACCTTAGACTGGTTTCCTAATTTATAAAGAACAGAAATGTATCTCTTAAACAGTTCTGAAAGCTGAAATGTCCAGGATCAAGGAGCCAGCAGATTCTGTGTCTGCTAAGAGCTCACTCTCTGCTTCCAAGATAGCACCATTTTGCTGTGTCCTCAAATGGCAGATGAGATAGAAGGGCAAGAAAGAGATGAACTCTTTTCCTAATGCCCTTTTATAAGGACACCAATTCCATATATGAGAGCAGAGCCCTCAGGGCTTAATCACCTGTCAAGGGCATCACCTCAATACTATTATCTTGGGTATTAAATTCCAACATATGCGTTTTGGAGGGACACGTACATTCAAACCATAATGGCAATAATAGTAGCAAAATATTGCATGTGAATAAGTGAAATGAACAGCATTAATGTCACAATGAATAAGAGGGAAGAATTGGGAATACTAAGTGCAGGATAACTTTTAAATATATTTTGTCTTTAGCCCATATTTCTGGCACAGAGCTCCTAAAATCTTGGAATTTTCTGAGTGATAGGGGTTATCTTTTGTTATTCATAACAAGCCCCTTAATATTGTTGATGCCAATTTTTCCCTACTTGATCTCTAGATTCAACGAAATCTCAATCACAATCCCAGCATGCTATTTAGAGATTCTGAAGTTTACATGGAAAGAAAAAGACCCAGTGTAGCCAACACAATACTAAAGAATAGAAAAGATGGAATAGTCACACTACTATATTTCAAAACTTACTATGAAGCTATAGTAATCAAAACAGCATGGCGTTGGCAAAAGAATAAATAAATGAAACAGTAAAAATCTCATAACTACATCTATATAAATATAGTCAACTTATTTTTCTCAAGGACACAAAGGAAACTCAATTGAGAAAGGCTAAACTTTTCAAGAAATGATTCTACAACAATAGAATGTCCAAATTAAAAAAAAAAAAGAACCTAGAAAACACAGGCCTTACACCTTACCCAGAAAATTAACTAAAAATGGATCATAAACCTAATGTGTAGGTATAACATTTGTAGAAGAAAAAATAGAAAATTTATAAGATCATGGGTTTAGTGATGAGTTTTTAGATATAACATCTAAAGCACAATAAATACAAAAAATTATAAGCCCATCTTGAAATTTAAACTTTTAAATTTTTAAATTTTCTGCTGTGTGAATGACACTTTTATAAAAAGACAAGCCACAGACTGGGAGAAAATACTTGTGAATACATAACTGATAAAGATCTTCTATCCAAAATATATAAAAACTCTTAAAACTAAGAAAACCACCCAATTTAAAAATAAGCAAAATATCTGAAGATACCTTGCTAAAGAAAATGTATAGACAGCAAGTAAACAAATAAAAAGATATTCAACATCTTTTGTTATTAGAGAAATGCAGATTATAACAAATGAGATACTACTATGTGACTACTAGAAAGAGAAAAATCTTTAAAAAATGACAATCAATTGCTGGTGAGGATGCAGAACAACGAAAGAAGATCTCATTCATTGCTAGCAGGAATGCAAATGATGTAGCCACTTTGGAAGACAGTCTGACAGTTTCTTATAAATCTAAATATTGTCTTACCATACAATCCTGGATTCATGCCCCTGGTATTACCCAACTGCTTTAAAATTTATGTCCACAGAAGAACCAGTATGCAAGTGTTTAGAGATACTTTATGATAATTATAAAAAACTAAAAGCAATCCAGATGCCCTTTAATATGTGAATGGATTAACAATCTATGGTACATTCATGCAATGGTATATTTCATTGATAAAAAGGGATGTGCAATCAAATCACTCAAAGACCTGGATGAATTTTAAATGCATATTGCTAATAATAATGTATGGAGATATTTATATGCTCTTCTAGCGAAAGCAAAACAATAAAGATGGTAAAGAGATCAGCTGCTGGCATAGATTAGAAGGTGAGGGGAGAATATGAGAAGCACAGGATAACGTTCAAAGTGCTGAAACTATTCTGTACAATAATGTAATACTGAATACATGACACTAAACTCCTCAAACCCATAGAACTATACAGTAAGAGTGAATACCATACATATACATATAAATAGTGAGATTGGGGATCCCAAAATGGAAGGCAGGATGTGATGAAAAAATCTTATTGTTTTACAACTATATGAAACAGTTTTACTTAAGGTGTTGAGGAAATAAAGTACTAACAACTTTGGAATCGAAAGTAATATGTAAGGGTAAAGACAAAAGAAATTATATATAAGTGTGGCATTATAGTCAGTAAAGTTGTTCCCCACACGAGTATGTGTTAACAATTCTGAAATCATTATACACATATAATGAAACTGAAAAATTACCTAAATGATGGCAGATGGTGAGAGTTTTCTTACTGTTGGAGCAGAAAGTAACAAATAAGAGGATAATGCTAGAATGATCCATGTAGTAATAAATTAGAGTTGGTGACTCAGCAGTGATACGAATGCAGTTTAACAGATCAGTTTAGCAGTGATATATCAGTTTAGTGGTGATACATATCGTTAAAATTACAAATATATATAGGCATGCATATATATATGGGCTAGTGTAATCACCTATCGTTGCTCTGTTGGCTAAGAAATCCTAGAAAAAACAATCCAGTAGCAATGAGCTCACTAAGTACCCAGATCTTGGTTACTAATGCCATATTGAAATAAAAGGAATGTGGCTCCTTGAAGAAATGGCTTATTCTAGAACTAGGTTAGAAAATATAGTAGATGGAGCATCTTATAGGGCTAGAAAATAAACAAAATGCTAAAAACAAAACAAAACACAAAAACCCATAATGAAGGAGTTGCATTAAAGGGACATTGTAGTAAAGTGGAAGAGCTACCAATGGCCAAATTCGAGCAACACAATAAATAAAGAAGTAATAACTATAACCTAATACATAAAACAAGTATCCATGAGTCTTTACTGACATAAATAAATGATTGAAAACAAACAAATAAATTGAAAAGAACAGAAATATCTTTGATCCAAACAAATATATTGATCCAAATACTTTGTGGAGATACTTCACCCTGAAAGAAACAAGTATAACTTTCCACTCCTAAGTGGAAACTGTATATAATGACTTCCTCCCAAAAAGAAGAGTGTGGAAAGAGAATAGAAAAGTGTAACTTTATAGTGAAGAAATAAGACAAGCATTACCTCAGCCAAAGTGATCAAGGTCAACATCGACTGTGATAAGTCATGTTGATACTATGTATTGTGATTTGATGATAGGATTTGGTATCATCTAATGATAATAATATGATTTGATAATAATGCCATTTTACCTGTGTGATCATCCTCCTTAAAACCTGTAAGTACCATCTAATTGTGATAAAAAACATCAATCAAATCTTATTTGAGTGGCAGTCTACAAAATACCTAACCATTACCTATGAAAACTGTCAAGGTCTTCAAAAATAAGAAAAGTCAAAGAAACTTTTGCAATTCAGAGGATGCTATAGAGACTAAGTGCAATGTGGTATCCAGAGTGGACTCCTATAACAAAAAAGGCCTCAGAAAACCACTAAGGAAATATTAATTAAATATGGATTTTAATTCATAATAAAGCATTAATATTGTCTCATTTATTATGACAAACTATACAAATGTAAGTTAGAAGATACTGAGTTTGGGTAATAAAGGATCTCTCTGTACTGTTTTTGTAATTTTTCTATAAATCTAAAACTTTTATAAATAAAAAGTTTATTTGAAAAAGAATGTAGCATTGTATCTGAGTTTTAACCAATATTAAACAATAATAACAACAATAAAAACAAAAGCACCACAGTGACAGTGGCAGAAAACCAACTTTATGATCCAGATTGAGTTTGTCTTGAAGAAACAATACTTTTCTTTCATAGTTACAAACATTGCTAATACAACATGCACCTCATTTTCATTTAGTGTTTGGGCCTATTTAGTTTGGGGACAAAAATGTTGACATAAATAAATGTGATCCTAAGATATACAGAAGAGTGAACTATGGGACTTGGCATTTCTTCAAAAAAGTTGTACAAATGGCCAACAGATATATGAAAAGATTTTCAATGTTACTAATCATCAGGGAAATGCTAATCAAAACAGCAATGAAATATCACTTCATATTGGTTAGGATGGCTAGCACACACACAAAAATAACATAAAGACAACAAGTGTCGGTGAGGATGTGAAGAAATTGGAACCCATATACACCATTGATGGGAATGCAAAATGGTGCAGGTGCTTTGGAAAACAGTATGGATGTTCCTTAATGAATTAAAAATAAAACTACCATACGATCCAGTAGTCCCACTTCTTGGTATTTATCTAATAGAATTGAAATCAAGATCTCAAAGGGATATTAGCACTCTCATGATCCTTGCAACAGTATTTGCAATGGCCAATATGGGGAAACAAGTAAGTGTCCACTGATGGATAAATAAAGAAAATGTGGCATATACATAAAATGGAATATTCTTCAGCGTTAAAAAAGAAGGAAATCCTGTAATATGTGACAACATGGATTAACTTTGAGAACATTGTGCTAAGTGAAACAAGCTAGTCACGGAAGAACAAATACTGCATGATTCCATTTATGAGAGTTATCTAAAAGAGCCAAGCTTATAGAAATAGAGAATTGTGGTTGTCAAGAGCTAGGGGGAGCAGAAAATGAATAGTTGCTAATCTATCTGTAGAAAGCTTCAGTTATGCAACATGTAGTTCTGAAGCTCTGTTGTATTGCATTGTGCCTGTAGATAATAATTCTGTATTGCACACTTAAAAATCTTTTAAAGGTAAAGTTAGGTATTCTTATTATGCTAAAATAATGTTTAAGAAAAGTATAAAATATGCTCTGTGGCATTGTACACTCAATTCACCAGATGGATAAATATTTTTTTCTTAGAAATATATATTTAAATGTGTTAAACAGGTATTTCAGCACCTAAATGAATTTTACAGATATTTGAAATGACAAAGCATTACTTAATGTAAATTTCAGCTACATTTTATTCCTAAGTACATCAGTCTTTATCATGGTTTACAAAGTATTTCTGGTTCCCCATTTAATCTAACAGTAGGATTGTGTTTCTCTACTTCATGAAGTTAATATGGCCATATGACTTTCAATGACCAATGTAACCTGGATGGAAACAATGTGTTTGACTTCTAAGTGGAATGCAAAATTTCCCATATTTAATGTTTCTGCCTTTGCAATCATGAGAGCATAGCCAGACATCGAAATTACTTTATGGTGGGTCTCTGAATGAGGGTGTTGTAGAACTAATAAGCCCATCAACTACCCTGTGCAGTTAATGTACTATGAACAAGAAGTAAACCTGTGTCATTTTAACCTACTGACATTTTTAGGGCTGTTTGTTATGACAGCATAATATAACCTATTCTGACTAATTACATTTGTTATTACATTTATATCTTTTTCTAAAAAAGAAGAAACATATAGCTCATATTTTCCAAAGCCACATGAGAATGAATAAAATATCAAATATTGAATGCATATAATTTAACATGGAATGATATGATATGCTCTTTTCCTTCAAAAAAAATCATTTCACCAGATTAGAGGGCATGTAACAGTCATCTGTCAACAAGTTGTCACTTCACTCATGTTAAAAGAAAGTTACTTTTTAAAATCCTTTGATTTAAAATGTTTCATTATTAATTTTACCCAGAATCCTATCTGCCATGCTGTTATGACACCAATCAAAAATTAAAAAATTATACTGATCAAAAATAGAGATATGATAACTTGACAGCTGAAGGCATTTACCTTTTAAGACTGATAAAAGTTCAAAAAGTTGAAAAGTACATTTGAAAAAAGGCACACTCTCTACAATAAATATCACATTTCTGAAAGAGAATTCACATTGCTGTTTGCACACTAGATATGCCAATATAAATCACATTTGAATGAAATAAGACCATATGAATTGGAAATGTCTGTTTCCAGTCCCTTTACTGTCAGGTGAATCTGTATGACAAGCTCTGCCAATAAAATGTGAGTAAAATTGATATATATTATTTTGATGTATGAGGAACTATAAAGCTTATGCTCAATTTCTTAGAATCCTTTCCCAGCTCTGCAATCAAAGAAACAACATGTTTTAGGTAGGGCAGGTGAAATATGGCAGCATCTTTGTCAGTGCTGCACTATTTCTTGTGTTTCCTTTATACTCTGCTAATACCTTAGTGAATTACCTCTCTATGAAACATTCCTTGAATTACACTAATTTAAATATCCAATCTGTTACTTGCTGGGCCCCTGACTGATACCGAATTAGGCAAGGTCCAAGAGTTTTATGTAGAAAACAACCCCCCATATTCACCAATCTATGATAAATATATAACTTTAAGAAGAAATATATCTGATATATTAAGCCACTAAAATGTGGGGATTATTTGTTAAGACTCTATAAACCTAACCTATCCTGACAAATACACATATCAAACTAGATAATGAATGATTCATATGCACCTGCTCTTCTAAGAAATTCTCCCAGGAGAAACTGATAAGAGAGTGGACATTGAAGAAAGAAAAACAAAAAGGGGATAGAATTTTAGGATGCTGGATACTAAATAGGTCTGCTAAAAAAGAAAAAAATAATAATTTTAGGATGCATTATCCTGATTTATCAGAGGGAGCTCTGGAATAGAAGTGACATCTCAGAGTTTGTGTGCAAATGAGATGAGAGTTTCAGCTTCATAATGAGCATTCCTTGATAATTATAAGGTTTTTTAAATACCTCTGTGTGTGGGCAAAGACTCTATCTTAGGTTGTTTTCTGCTATATTTGCAAAATATACGGAAACAGACATTTATTTGGTTCCATAGGCTGCCAGCATCTGGTGAGGGTCATTCCATGGCCAGAAGCATCACATGGTGAGAGCACAAGCACAAAAGAGAAAATCAGAACAAATATATACTTTTTATCAGAAATCCACTTCCACAGTAAGTAACCAACTCCTGCAATAATGGCATTAATTCAATTGTGAAGATGAACCCCTCAGAACATAATCATCTCTTAAACATGCTGCCTCTCAACTGTTACACTGGGGATTAAATTTCTAACACATGAGCTTTCAGGGAATGCATTCAAACCACAGCAGGCTCAAAGGGTAGTTTTCAAAAAATGTGCTCAAAAACAGGTAAGGGTAAAAGGAGCCTAATGGAGTTTGGTATATAATAGCATAAGCAGTGTCTGCTAGAAAAACTTGCAAAACACAGCACTTCATCATTCAACATTAGTTATTATAGTATATCACATATAATTAGAAGGAGGAAGATCAATGTTTATATTTATAAATATCACAAAAAATTAAAATAGATGGCCTCAACAAGCTTTCCATTTTAAATTATATAAACTGGGAAAAATGCACTATTAATTCACTTCTTATATTTTAAGTTACTTTCTCCGAATATTGAAGGGAGAACAGTATCTGGTACTTTATATCCAAGAAATGTTATTATTTCTTTAAAGAAATGTTCACTGTGGGACTACTATATGCCATGGGGAATACAACAATAAATATAACAAATTCTAGTTCTTTCAACAGCTTACATTCTAATGGTAGAGACAAAAAATATAAACAAATAAAGCTATAATACATCACTACATGGTAAATAGTGTTATTCAGAAAATATTAGCAGGAAAAGAGGATAGCCAGTAAAAAGGAGTGGTTCTTTTAGATAGTGAGGTCATAGTAAGTTGCTATAACCAAATAACTTTACTTCAGGAACCTTAGTGAATTGAGGGAATGAGTCTTGAAAATTTGTAAGAGAAAAGTATTCCAGGTAGAAGATGTACAAAGTAAATGTTCCCAGAGCCTCAAGCTGTTTTATTATGCTAGAAGACAATGAAGGCCAGTGTTCTGGTTATGGCTAATGGAGGGAGAAAGGAAATATTGGAAAATACGATTGAAGAGATAACTAAGGCCAGATGATATAGAGTTCTGTAGGCCAAGGTAAGATTTGTGTGTGTGTGTGTGTGTGTGTGTGTGTGTGTGTGTGTGTGTGTGTGTGTGTGTGTTTTGTTATTGTTTTTACTTTTTGTTTTGATTCAGTGAAGCCATTAAAAGATCATGAACACATGTGTGCCATTAATTCTAGACATGAACAAGGAACAAGGACTGAACTTAATCTCTCACTGTAAACAGCTAGAAAACTATATATATAATGTAAAACAAATGTTTTTGCACATTGGAAAGCAGGTAGCACATTTTCCAATGTGCTATGGAGCATATGATCCCTGAAAGAAAGGAAAAATGAGTTGAGTCCTACATTTGCCCTTGACTTCTAGACTGGATGCTTTATCTAGGCTGTAGTGCAGAGAGGGGAAACACAAACAGAACCAGGCAGTCTCACTGAATTCAGTACATGGAGACCAGAATTCAGCGAGGCTTAGCTGGCTAAAAGTAGCAGGGAAACATTCTAGAAAGAAAGAAGTATGCAGTAACAAGAAATCTATAGAAGGGTTTCTTTAAGTCTCTACTTAATACTTGCTTATATATGCATAATATGAAACTCTACAAGTCTTAGACAAAAATATCATAAAGTTGTAAGATAAAAATTTGGCAAATTTCACACCAGGCAAGGAGTTGTTTAAAGTCTAACCAGCCAGAAGGTATTGTCCTTGGTGATCAGCCAGGACATTTGGTGGAAGCTTCAGCAGAGTCCTATTTTTTAATTATGGCTTAATTATCCCAGGAGTAAAGACTACCCCAGATATACACTACAAAAACTTAAAACAGGCCTCAAAGTCATAAATTCTATCCAAAATAATTTAATTGCCAAGTTAACTGCCAAACAGTAGCATAAGATTAATAAGGCCCAATCTCTAATCAAAATATTCATACATGCCAAGAAGCAAGAAAAAGTAATGCATTACCAACAAAAAATATTTAATAAAAATAAACAAAGAAATAATGGAAATAATGAAAGAAAATGATATTAAGATAGCTATTATAACTATAAACAAGCATTTAATTAAAAATATGAAGAAATGAGAGAAATTGATAATATAAAAAAATGTTACTTCCATAGAGTAAAACAATAATATCTAAAATTAAGACACTATTAGATGTGATAAATAGCAGATTAGACACTGTAAAATAAAAATAATGATGAACTTCAAAGCATAGCAATAGAATCAAACCAAAAGAAGGAGAAAACAAAAGATTAGAAAGAATAAAAAGAGTTTTCATGATGTGCAAGTTATATTCAATAGCCTAATACATATAAATGGTCTCCTAGAGAGAACAGGGAGACTAAAAAGACATAAAAATATCTGAAAAAGTTGTGGCTGAAAATGTTTCAAATTTGATAAAAATTATAAGGCCATGGATCTACAAAGCTCAATGAAGTCAAACAGAATAAACACATACACAAACATGTCTGGCCATTACATGCGAATTAAATTGCTGAAAATAATCAATGAAGAGAAATATATCAAAAGCCACCTAATACCCCAGAGTCAGATCCGCAGACCTTAGTTCACTGTGTATCCTGAAGCAGCCTTGCAACTCAGTTCCATCAACTCTCAGCCATGGTGCAGGGCCTGTCCTGCCCACTTAAGGACCCACAAAATGACTTGGTGAGAATCCTGTCATGGACCAGGTGTGAGTTATCCATGTATGTGCTAGGAAACAGGCCCATCATCTGAAGACCTAACTGTAGACCACAAAATAGATCTGTGTCCTAGCACCAGCTTTACTGGCTAAGATCCTGAAGGAAGTCCCATCTTCCCAGGAACCAAGAAAGATCCATGCTGCCCGAGTCCCTGGTAACAGGCCCACCAACACTGAACCCCACTGCAGACTCAGTGACAGCCATGTAACCTGCCTTTAACTCTTCTTGTCAGAGATTGCAGAGGCAATCCCATTAGCCTTGGGACCTGAGAGACAAAAAAAAAAACTTCACCTTCCAAAACCAGTCTTTAAGGATTAAAAGATGTTTGCTCCTTCAAAAGTACAGACACTGATGTAAGGCCACACATCATGAAGAACCTGATAAACGTGATATCACCAAAGCAAGCTATTAAAGCCTCAGTATTTGACCCTAAAGAAATGGAAATCTGTGAATTACCTGACAAATAATTCAAAATAATTATCTTTAAAAGGCTCAGTGAGATGCAAGAGAACACAAATAGACAAATAAACAAAATCAGAAAAATAATACATCAAGTACAAGAAGTTTGATACAGAAATAGCAACCCTGAAAGAGAACCAAACAGAAATACTGGGGATGAATAATACAATGAATGAACTAAAAAGTACAATAGAGAACTTCAATAGTAGTAGATAGGATCAGGAAAAAAATAAACAGTGAACTCAAAGACAAGTCATTTAATATTAGCCAGTGGGAGCAACAACAACAACAACAACAACAACAAGAATGAAGAAACATAAGGAGCTTATTGAACAACATACAACATACCAGGACTTAATCATGAAGAAATCATTACCAATAATAAGTAAGGAGAGTGAATTGATAATCAAAAATCTCTCATCAAACAAAGAATATAGTCTGATGTCTTCCATGGCTGAATTCTACCAAACATTTAAATAATATAAATTTTTCTCAAATTCTTACGAAAAATTGAAGAGGAGAGAACACTTTCAAATTTGTTTTACAAGGCCAGTATTACCCTGTTGACAAAGTCAGATAAGGACACTGTAAGAAAAGAACATTATAGCTAATATTCCTTCTAAACATAGACACAAATATTCTCAATAAAATGGTAGCAAATTAAATTCAACAGCACATTAAAGGATCATTTGCCATGATCAAATGGGATTTATCCCTAGAATGCAAGGATGGCACAACATTTGCAAATCAATAAACACAATATACCACATTAATTTAATAAAGGTAAAAATCATATGATCATCTCAATATGTGCAGAAACATTTGCCAATATTCAAGATCCTTTTATAATAAAAACACTCAACAAATTAGGTATAGAAGAAATGCACCTCAACATAACAAAGACCATATATGATAAATCCATAGCTAACATCATACTCAATGGTGAAAAGCCAAAGGATGTCCCCTCTCACTACTTCTATTTAACATATTATTGAAGGTTCTAGTCAGAGCAATTAATCAGGAAAAAATAATTAAAATATCTCCTTACTTATTATCTAAATTGTAAAGGCAGAAGTAAAATTGACATGCTCTTTGAATAAATGAATTATAGCAAAGTCATAAGGAAAGAAATTAACTTTCAAAAATGAGTATCCTTTCTCTATGCTGACAACAAACTATGAGAAAAAATAAATTATAGAAATGTCCCATCTACAATAGCATCAAAAGCAATAAAGGACTTAAGAATAAATTGAAACAATTATGTGAAAGATCTATACACCAAAATATAAGACACTGATGAAATAAATTGAAGAAGACAAATCCATGAAAAAAATCCTATTCTTATATAATGGAAGAATTATTGTAAAAATATCCATACTACCTAAAGCAATCCACAGGTTTAATTCAATCCCTATCAAAAATTTAATGACTTTTTTCACAGAAATTTTAAAAAATCTTAAAAATCATAAGGAACCACAAAAGACCCTGAATAATAAAAGCAATATTAAGTAAAAAAAAAAAACAAATTTGAAGGAATCATCTTTCAGATTTTAAATTACATTACGAAGATATAGTAATCAAGACAGTATGGTACTGGCATATAAATGGACACATAGACTAATGGAACAGAGAGCCTAGAAATAAATTCACACATATAATGCACATATAGGGGATGGTAGGGGAAAGAGGAGATATTGGTCAAAGAGTACAAACTTTGTTATAAGATGAGAAAGTTTCCCAGCAAGCACATGTACAGCATACTAGGAATAACACAGCAAGGATACAGCTTGTCTGCCAACTGTGGCCCCTGCCTGAGTGAGTCCTGTGGACTAGAACACTCAACAAAGGAAACAGGGGCATGGAGACAGCAATAAATGGTGAAGGGATAACTGTTTAGCCATATGCAGAAGATTGAAACTTTCTTTACACCTTATACAAAAGTCTTTCTTATACCACACACAAAAATCAACTCAAGATGGATTAAAGACTTAAATGTAAAACCTACAACTATAAAAACTGTAAAAACCTACAAGTAAAACATAACCTAGGTATTACAATTCTGGACATAAGACCTGGCAAAAATTTCATAAGAAGGAAGCCAAAACAGTTGCAACAAAAACAAAAATTGACAAATGGGACATAATTAAAGAGCTTCTGCACAGCCAAAGAAACTGTCAGCAGAGTAAACAAACCTACAGGATGGCAGAAAATTTTTGCATACTATGAATCTGACAAAGGCCTAATATCCAAAATCTGTAAGGAACTTAAACAAATTTACAAGCAAAAAACAAATAAGCCCATTCAAAAGTGAACAAAGGACATGAACAGACACTTTTCAAAAGAAGACTTACATGCAGCCAACAAGCATACAAAAAAATGCCCAACATCACTAATAATTAGAGAAATGCAAATCCAAACCACAATGAGATACCATCTCACACCAGTCACAATGGCTATTATTAAAGTTTGTGAAAAAAAGGAATGCATATACACTGTTAGTGGGAATATAAATTAGTTCAGCCATTGTGGAAAGCAATTTGGCAATTTCTCAAAGAACTTAAAACACAAATAGCATTTGATCTAGCCATTATTGGGTATACACACAAAGGAATATAAATCATCTGTCATAAAGACACATGCACATGTATGTTAATCACATAATTATTTACAATAGCAAAGTCATGGAATCAACCTGTGTCCATCAATGGTAAACTGGAAGAAAATATGGTATATATACCATGAAATACTATGTAGCCATAAAAAATAAAATCATGTTCTTTACAGCAATATGGATGGAGTTGGAGGTCATTATTCTAAGCAAACTAATGCAGGAACAGAAAACCAAATACTGCATGTTATCACTTATAAGTGGGAGGTAAACATTAAATTAATAGGCACACAAAGAAAAGAACAACAGATACCAGGGCCTAGTTGAGGTTGGAGTGTGGGAGGTGGGTGAGGATCAAAAAACTACCTGTTTCAGTGTATGCTTATTACCTGGTTGAATAAATAACCTGTATACCAAACCCCTGCAACATGAAATTTACCTGAATACCAAACCTGCACATGTATTCCTGAACTTAAAACAAAAGTTTAAAAAAATGAGGAAGTTCTGAGGCTCTAACACAGAGTATAATGACTATACTACTGCAGCTTTATAAGTTCTTAAAGGTAACACCTCTATTTCAGGTTTTTAAATATTTTAATCCATTCATCTATTAATGGACATTTGAGTTGCTTCTAGTTTTGGGCTATTACAAATAAAGCTGCCATGAACATTCATGTACATTTTTTTTGTATGGGACATTTACTTTTATTTCCCTTAGATAAATAATAATCAATGGGATGGTTATATGATAAGGTAGATACATGTTCAAATTTCTAAGAAATTGCCAAATTTTTGTATTATTTTTCATTCCCTTTATAGTATATGAGAGTTCTACTTCCTCCACATACTATATAACACCAGGTATGGTTAATATCTTTTCAATTTTAATATTTCTAATAGGTGTATAGTAATATCTCTTTGTGATTCTTATTTGCATTTCTTTCATGGGTAATGATGTTGAACATCTTTTTATGTGCTTATGTGTCATCCTGTGTCTTCCATGGTGAAATGTCAGATCAAATCTGTTTTCCGTTTTTTATTTTCTGGTCATTTGTTTTGCTTTCTATGTTATTTGGTTTGGAAATGTCTTTAGATGGTCCAGACAAAGTCTAAATAATCGAGTATATAATTTAAAAATATTTCCCCTAATCTATAGCTTGTATCTTAATGAGCATGGCAGTGTCTTTTGAAAATAAGTTTTTAACTTTAAGTCCAACTTATTTTTTTATTTATACAGAGCATGTTTTTGATATTGTGTCCAAGAAATCTTTGACTAACCTAAGGTTTCAAAAAATTTTCTCTTGTATTTTTGTCTGGAAGTTTTATAGTTTTAGGAGTAAATAAATTTGGTAAGATTCAGATCAAAGTTGAAATTTTTGGCATATGGATATCCAATTACTCTAACACTATTTGTTGAAAAGACTTTTTTTTAATCTATTAAATTGACTTTGCAACTCTTCCAAAATCAATTTTCCATATATGTGTGGATCATTTCCTGGACTATTTAATCCATTTAATTGATCTGTTTGTCTATCATGATAGCAATACCATACTGTCCTGATTACTCTAGCTTTTTAATATATATTTAAATTGGGTGGTGGTAGTTCTCCAAATTTATTCTTTTATTTTTTAAAGTTGTTTGCCATCTTTAATTATTTGCACTTCCATATAAATGCTAAAGTCAGCTTCTTAATCTCTCCAATAGTGCCTGCAAGGACTTTGTTTATGTTGAAACTATTAATCAGTTTCAAAAAAATTTATCATCACAACCTCAACTCTTCAGACTAAAGAACATCTCCACCTTTATTTAAATTATTCTTTAGTTTCTTTCTCAAAAGTGCTTTTAGTTTTTAGTATACACTTTTGTTAGATTTATCCATATTTCATATTTTTGATGCTACTTTACATAGTATTGTTTCCTAATTTTATTTTCTAATAGTTTTTACTAGTATATAGAAAAATAGACTTTTTAATATTGATCTTGTATCCTGTGATATTTACCTATTCCCTTATTATTTGTAGCAAGGTTTTTTTGGTAGATTTGATAAGATTTTCTATACAAACACTGATGCAATCTACCAGAAAAACATAATTTTAGTTTTTTATGTATTTATGCTTTATTGCACTGGAGAGAACATTCAAAACAATGTTGAATACAATAAGTGGTAGGTAGAGGCGTCATGTCTTGTTTCTAACCTAAGAGACAAAGAGTTCAACTTTTCACCACTAAGTATATTAACTGTAAGTTTGTTTTAGATGACTGTTATCAGCTTGAAGGAAGTTTCATTCTATTCCTAGTTTTCTGAGAGTCATTGTCAGCAGTGGTGTTGGGTTTTGATAAGCAGTGGTGTTGAGTTTTGATAAACATTTTGGGGCATTATATTGAGATAATCATATAAAATTTTTTTAATTGGGTAAATATAATAAATTACATTTGTTGTATTTTGAATGTTAAACCAAACTTGCTTTACTAGAATATACTCCAGTACAATATTTTAATCTTAGAAATTTTGTTTTTATATTATCCATTCTCTATATACAGTTTTGAAATGATAATACCGTTACATTGTTCATACATGCTTATCATAATACCTGCGTCATTTCTGGATCAGTTTTTGTCGATATTTTTGCATTACTGTGAGTCGTATTTTTCCATCTTTACATATCTGTTTATTTTTTATGGGATGTCAGATATTGTAATTTTTATGTATAATTGCCTATAATTTACATTCCTATAAATATTCGTGAGTTTTTGTTCTGGGATACATTTTAGTACAGCAAACAGTTTGATTTGTTTGAGATCATGATTTTTCTTTTGTTAGTTTTGTTTTGAAGTTTTGTTAGGTGGAAACAGATCAGTGGTGAAGATAGGGCTAGTTACTCTCCCACTATTAAGGGAAGTACCTGTAGATAATTTGACCTAATGCCTCATGAATTATGAGATTTTCCATTTTGGCTGGTGAAAATAAGTACTCTTCTTGATGCTGTGTGAGCCCTCAGTAACATTTTCTCTAATCTTTTTAGGTTATTCCTTCCTCACACATGCACAGATAAATACTGTCTTGCTGCAAAAAGAACATCAGAATTCTCACTTCATAGCTGTCCTATTTCTGTAACTTGTCCTGTGAAATCTATTGCCTTAATCTATTTTCTCTTACTATAACAGAATGACACAGACTGAGTAATTTATAAAGAAAAGAAGTTTATTTGGCTCATGGTTCTGAAGGCTGCGAAGTTCAAGGTCCTGGTGGCATTTTCTGATGAGGACTTTTGTACCGCATCAAAACATGGTAGGAAAGCTGAAGGGCAGGTGAATGTGTGCAAAACAGAGCAAAACACAAAGGGTGACCTCCTTTTGTAATAGTTCACTCTTGTGGTAATTAAACCAGGTGATGAGAGCAAGTACTCACTTTCACAAGAATTAACCTAGTCCAGTGAGAGTGGTATTAATCTTTCTTAATTACCTAATCACCTCTCAGAGTCTCCATCTCTCAACACTGCCACACAAGGGGACCAAGTTTTCAACATGTGAATTCTGGAAGACCCATTCAAGCCATAGCACATATCCACACCTATCCATCTTGGTCTTTATGGACTCTTAGCTCCCTCTCCTCAACTCTTCTGGGAGACAGCAAGGAGTTTGAGACCACTCTCCCTGAATTCTGCCCCTGCTAACACTGGAAACTGTCTTGATATAATAAGATAGGGCAATTGCCTGGCTCATTTCTTTCCCATCACTAGAGATTCTTCTTTGCTGTCTGATGTTCAATGTTTTAAAAACCATTTGACTCATTCTATCCTACTTTTTTTTAGTTTTTCAGATGGAAAGGTAAATTCAGTCCCTGATACTCTAGGGCAACTTTACAACTCTTTCAAGTATTCCTTTTCTAATGGCTTTCCTTCTCTTCTCTCTCAGCTCTAGGGCTGGTTATGGTGCATTATTACTAGCTATGAAGTTCTGGAAACAGTTCCTTCATTTAACTCTCCTCAAGTTGCCAAATTCACATTTCATCTAGTTTTTGCTTTACTTCGCTTTACAAGAAGAGGTGGAATCTCACAAGCAAGTGAAAAGCTTGTTTTCACAATGAAAACGAAATTACTACCAACCACCACAACCACAATAAATGCAAACATTGTTCATCTATTGTCATACAGAAAAATATACATCATGTGGATTAAGATTAGGATGGGTTGATAGATTTATTGGTATAAATAAAAGGCAGTCCTTTATAGTTATAAAAAAAAAGGCAGTGCTTAACTTTCCTTAATGAAATAAGAGCAAGATTATTAATTGTGAGAAAGAAAAGGGACAGCAAAGGTTTGAGAAACATGTTGATGTCTAAAATAACCATCAGAGAAAATGCTAAAATAGTTTTATTATAGCAGGAAAATGTAGGACACTATATATACAGTGATACCTAAAGTATGAACATCCAAAGTCCCTTTTTTCATGATTTGTGAATTTCTAATACAAGAGATCTTTAAGAATTTAAGTCACAGCTGGAAATCCTGAGAAAAACAATATTTGATGGTTGGTCACATCATGATTGAATTACATTTTTTTCTCTAGATGATGAAAGTGAAAAGACCAGCAAGTCATCCATGACCCTAAACGTTTGGCTTTCTAGTACTTTGCTTCACCCACTGTATTCTAAATACGTTGACTTTTTATCCAGTTTTCTGAGCAGCATGCGAAACTTAACCCTATCCTGTTTTTGCTCATGCTGTTCCCTTTGCTTATAATGCTCTTGTCCAGGGACATGGCCTTCTAGTATTTAGTTTCCTATTCACACATCACTCCTTTATAAGAGTAACTGTCATGTAAGCAATAGGAGATGGAAGCAGAAAGAGTAATGTTAAACTGAGAGATCTTTCTTACTTCCGAACCACACTGCAGACTTGCTTATTTTTAAGAGCATATCGCTATGTTAAATTATTATTTTGTCTATTTTTCGGCCTTCTCTACAAAGGATGATATAGAATAAATCTATTTTGGCCACTACTATACTGACTTCCCATAGACGAGTGCCAGATACACGCTGGGTACTAAGCAAATAAATATGTGAAAGGAGAAGGTACAGAAAAAAAAACCTGGATTTCAATAAATGCCTCAAAAACTTTTCCTCAGTTTTTGGCCTTGGGTCACATGCATTCTGTTTTGAATCTGTATAAATTAATTTTCTTATTGGGAGTTAAAATGTTATCTAGTTTGCTCTTTGGGAAATAATAAAGTGAGATGAAATTGAGATGACATTTGGCCAATATGTCCTCTCTTGAGTTCTTCTAAGGAGATGTATACACAAGAATGAAGCAAGGCAGAGTAAAACTTTATTAGTGACTGTCATTTGTCCCCAAATCCCTATGAAGAACACTAGTGACGTAGGCAGGAACAGTTGGAAAAATCATTTTTTAATCTCCTTTGATGACCTATGTTAAACCATAATAAAGAAGGCTAACAATTGGTTTTTGTCAATTTTCACCCCAAAGAACAGACACAATTCTCAATTATTGGCATTGCAGAGAAAGAGAAAAGATTGGCCAAGAATACAACTGGTTGGGAAAATAAACATCAAAAGAAAATGTGTGTTTATGACCTAGCATCATCATAGACCATGGTTACTATTTCCTTGCTTAGCTACTATTTTGAAAGAAAAATAATTTCCTAAGAGAAGGAAACTGCACCTTCACAAACAACAAAAAAAGAGATGTCTAGGTTTTCTTTCATTGAAGCAAACTTTAACACTTTAAACAGTGGAGGGATAATAATTTGGTGAGGTATGATCAAGGTTAACAATCACATGCATCTCTCTTTCTTATGTGATACAGAGGGTAAAAAATGGCCAATTGGTGAAAAAAATAAAAGAAGAATGGCTAGAACTTCTCCCAAAGAGGTAAGGCAACAGCTTTACTCAATGTTTCTTTTAACTATGAGATCACAAAAGGACATAAGACAGAAAGTAAGAGATGATTAGTAATATGGGTCCAAGCTCCTCCCTCATAGGAAGAGGGTCTCCCTAGTTTACGTGAATAAAGCAAGAGACTGAACATAAAAACAGGCAATGGCCAAGCCATTCATGACAATGGGAAAAATTCTTACTCACAAGCTCTGCAACACCATTCCAGAAAGCCAGACCATAAGCTCTTTTTATTCCACCCAGAGTGGTTAGAACTTAGTTTTAAATCACAGCTTTCCTATTTTGCCTCTGCTTTCAATGCAGGACCAATAAAAGAAAGCTAAATATACTCAAACAAATTATTCACATCAGATGTTTCATGTCTAGTGAGTCCACCTCCAGCTTCTCTGTGCCAACAACTTCCAATCAAAGGATACCTGAAGCCTTCCATGTTTTTCACTATGAAGCTCTCCCAAACCCCTGCCAACTTCGAGTCTTTGCCAAACTCAAGTGATAGCAACTGACTCCCTGGCTATATAGCAAGCCCTGAATGAATAGCCTTTGACTGTCTTCATTTGGGTGGTCATCATTTATTTCTACAAAAGAGAGATCAAAATAGGACAACATGACCTTTATCCTCATACACAATGAAAAGTGTTAAATTGCTGTAACAGCATTTTATTTTCTAAAACAAGGTATTTCTTACCTTATTGGTAAGGACTGGTACCTTGAAAGTCCCTTAGATTTCCAATTAATCTTATAGCATAATATCTAACTTTAACCCTTGAATAATAGTAAGTTTAAAATCAAATAAATTCATACAAATAACCGTTTATGTTACTGCTCATAACAAAATGAGAGAACTCTACAGTTTTGTGTGTTGGGTTTCCTGTTTGTTTTCATTTTGTTTTGTTCGTAGGGTTTTACCATCACAAGATGAAGCAAGAAGGGATTGTGTAGAGGCTGATACAGGAGATTCTCCCACAACTTTTCAGTCTGAGCATCACTAGCTTCTCAATGAGCAAGATGCTATAAAAGGTTCAGGAGAGAAAAATATCCTCATTCCTTTGAACATAGTGCCTCTCTTATCTTCTACATCAATAGCTCCTGATCTCTAACCCCTTTGTAAAATATCGTCCAAATTCCCATCTTTTCTATTTTCTATCACATTGGGAATGAATTCGTAGGCAATTGGGTTGCATTCTAAGTGATATGGAGACAGAGGTGCAGCCTCAGATCTCGTGAGAGGAGCAATTTTAGGACAACCAAACTTTCTACTTGGGCAAAATGGGCCTCTTCTTAGCATACAGCTAGAAACTATGCTAAATGCTTTACTCACCTCATTTAATTTAATCCTCATACTAATGAAACTAAAGAGTAATGCCCTTTTAATGAAAATGTGGTTTACGTGAGAATGGAGAAGGTTTAGTGAGTTTTTATCTGTGAGACTATGAAAGAGTAGAAGAGCTGATATATGAAACCATGTATCTCCTTGACCCCTCAAAATGGTATTCTTAATCAATACACAATGCATAAAAAATATTATTGGAAAAGGGCATGTTTCAGAGACATAGGCAACACAGTAACATATTTGTTTTTCAAATTTGAATCTCAGCTTATTATTCCTTAAAGCCTTCTTCCTGAGTAGTGGTAGCATTGTTGAGGACATAGGAACCTGATAATTGAGCTTCAATTTTGGCTTAGCATGCTCTGTTTTATTCTCACTCAATGAGAAATGAATTCAATCTGATCTGTTCATTGAAACATACTGTCACATCGATTGGGAACATAGATATTATTTCAAATGTTTTGAAAAGTCCAGAACCAGATACTTAGCCCAAATTTCCTAGAAAACAAAGCCTGAGGGAAAGCTTCAGGTACAATAGTGCCTGAGTTATATCCCCAGGGCAACAGGAACAAGGTTGAAAATTTATTGGGTTTGAGAGGGGCTGAAAGCAGATACAAGTGGTACATTACTGAATTGACAAGATCAGGACTACTTCAGATGTGTAGGGAATCACTGTGCTTCCGAAAGGTCTATGGGAAGAAGTAAGAAAGAGGAATTTATCTTCCAGCTCTTTCCCAGCTCCTGGACTCCTTGGTCTAAGCTTGCCCCTCTAAGAAAGAAGAGCCCCAACCTTCCATACTCCCACAAACTGACCTCTCCAGAACGTGCAGTGCTGGGAAGAAGGCACTGGGAGACTAGGAGAAGATACATAATCTGAGTCCCATGCAGAAATTTCATGAAGTCTGTATTCAATATTCTGCCAACATTCCTGCTGATTATTTCCTAATGAATGAACAATATATGTAAACGAGATGTGTCATTTGAAAAACAAAATACAAGTGGTAGGATATATTTAACAAACTGTATCTAAAAGTTATCCATCCTAGATCTGTTTGTCATCTATTAGTTTATTTAATTAATCCCATTCATTCACTCAGCATCTACTTATTGTTAGGCTCTATTGTGGGATCTAGAATTAGTGTGGTGGACAAAATAGAAAAAAAATTCCTGTTTTTTTTAAATTTTAATTTAAATTAATTTATGTTTTTGAGACAGGGTCTCACTTTGTCACCTAGGCTGGAGTGCAGCAGTGCAATCCCAGCTCACTGTGACCTCCATCTCCCGGCTTCAAGCGATTCTGGTGCCTCAGCCTCCTGAGCAGCTGGGATTATAGGCACACACCACCACTCCTGGCTAATTTTTTTGTATTTTTAGTAGAGACAGGTTTCACCATGTTGGCCAGGGTGGTCTCAAATCCTGATCTCAAATGATCTGCCTGCCTCGGCGTCCCAAAGTGCTGGAATTACAGGTGTGAGCTACCGCACCTGGCCAAATTCCTGTTATTTAGAGCTCAAGCTATTAAGATAGCTATTAGATACTGTCATCCAGTGATAAATCTTATGAAGAGAATAAGAGAGTGCAATGCACAGAAGGGGAGGAACAGAGTTAATTTAGATGGGTTTTGAGTCCTTAATGATAAGAAGGAGAGAGTCAAGCTAAATTGGGGGCATGGGCAGAGATGAATAGTTTTCGAGGGGGATCAAACCACAGGTGCAAAAATTCTATGGTGCCACGAACCTGGTGTGTTTGAAGAAAAAAATAATAGAAGGCCTTTTTAAGATTCTCCATTTTTCATTCTTTTTGCTAGCTGAGATGTGTAAAGTTTATATGGAAAATGATATCTACAGATACATTTCTAAGAATGTTATTGGGGGATGAAGGGAGCAGGTTGTGGAGTGCAGAGTATTCCTTTATTACCTCTAAAAGGATAGCTGTGATATAAATGCAGGAGAAATCTCAAAAATACATCCATGGCTCCTAGAAGAAAAGTTATGCTAGGGTAAACCTTAATCAGCCATGAAGAGTGGCTAATTTCCAACCTCAGGGGTTTTAGTGAATAAAAAGTTACATGTTCATGAAAAAAGAAGAAAATTTTGGCCTTGGTCATATAACAGATTTCTGACACAAAATTGACCTTGTACCTAGAGGGTAAAACTTTGAAGCATAAGTCTTGTTCAATATTTAAACCAAAAGCCAATCTGAATGCATTTCTTTAAACATAAATTTTTAATTCAAAAGATAAATGCAAATTAAATATATCCACAGAGGAATGCATTCAAGTTACTTTATTTCACTTGCAGAATTTTGTGTTTTGTTTTGTTCATTGATTCTCAAGCAACACCTAGAAGGAAAGCTGGAAATGAATGAAGAGAAGGAAGAGACGTACAGCTGCACTGGCTTGCCTCTCAGTAAGATTACAGATGCTTGCATGAATTCATGACAGATAATTATGTTCTATATATCACACTGACTTTTGTTACAGTGGTACTACCAAGTTCTGGCGAAGGTGAGGTACATTTGTTCTATCATTCACTGATAAAATAAGTATATTCATTCTTAAAATCAGCATCTATCAAGAGCTTTCAAAACCAGTATTTAATCTGGTAATACTAAATTAACTAGCTTTAACTTTTAAGAAAAAAATAGATTTGTAAGAATATTTTTCTCAATATGTTAATGATAACAAAATATAGCAAAGTTTAAAAAAATTAAAATAGAAAGGAAATACAAGAAATGTACAAAAAGCAGAATCTTTAAATAAATTATGACATAGGCAAGGGTGGAAAATTAGATAGATTATCTGTCGAAAACAAAATTGTTATTGACATGAGAAAACACAATTCAATATTAAGGAGGAAAATCAGATGCAATAGCTATTGTATTACAGAGCTTTACATGTTCACCAAATTTCATGCTCTCTCTTCTGCAGAATGAGGTTGTCATTGGTAAATAATTGTTGAACCAGTTACTACATTTCCTAGCTCCTCTTACCTCTATATGTGTCCATGAGACTTTTGATTGTGAATGGAAGATGAGAAGAATTGATGTGTGCCATTCTCAGCCAAGGCTTTTTTAAAGAAGAGAGAGAATGTGTCTCCTCCACGTTTTTGTTTGTTTGTTTGGTTTTGTTCTTACCCATATCTTGCACAGAAGCATTAAATAACTACAATGCCCTAGAGAATGGCAGATGGGTAAGATGAAAGGAGCCAGGTCCAGGCAGCACTCCACAGAATAGGTCTCCCCGAGACACAGAAGAGTGCCACTTGTATGCAAAGCCAAAATAAACCTCTATTGTGTTTGAATCTTTATGTGTTTTGAGGCTATTTTTAGCAGCTTTTGTTACCCTAACTAGTTCAGAAATCTGCTTGGTATAGTGAAAGAAAAGCACTGAGAAGCTTAACTACTTCTTGCTGGGTGGCAAAATTGTAATTTCTAATAAAATTACAAGATTTGTATAAGTTCGTGCATTTTATGATTTCTACTCCAAAATATTTTGGCTATTCCTTAAGTATAAACATAATTTTACATATTTATGTATTTATTTATTTAATGTCAATCACTCTGTCGCCCAGGCTGGAGTGCACTGGCACTATCTCAGCTCACTGCAACCTCCGCCTCCTGCGTTCAAGCGATCCTCCTGCCTCAGCCTCCTGAGTAGCTGGCACTACTGGTGTGCACCACCACACAGGGCTAATTTTTGAATTTTTTTGCAGAGACGAAGTTTAGTCATGTTGCCCAGTCTGGTCTCTAACTCCTGGGCTCAAGCAATTAATCTGTCTTGGCTTCCCAAAGTGCTGGGATTACAGGCATGAGCTACCACGGCTGGCCTTATAATTTAAATACGATGATATGTACATGCGTGTATACACACAGACAATCATAAGTGCATAGTCTTATGGGCTTTGAAAAATGTATACACTCATCTAACCTGTGTACCCACGCATTACCCTGGAAAGTTCTCTGTGCTTCCTTCCTGCTGTTGCCCTCTTCCCAAGGCAATTGCTGCTTTGATTTCTATTGCCATAGATTAGATTTGCCTATCTTGAAACTTATATAAATGCAATCTTGACATATCTACTACAAGTATTTTTCTTTGCTTTTTAAAAATATTTCAGTTTGAGATAACTGTGCATACATAGGAAGTTAAAAATATTTTACAAAGAGTTCTTATGCACTCAACTTCTCCTAGAGTTAACATGCTACATAACCAATTAACATTCTTTGTAGTGCATACTTCTGTTGACCATGTAATTATAAACTGAGAGCTTATACTTTGAACTTAATTCAGAAATGAAAACTAAGTAGCTCATTACATTACCTTAAATGATAACGAAGTAAATATTTTTAATTATTATAACTACTTGTCATCTATACAGAGTATTCTATAAATATTTTTTCTGTTGTTAAACTTATTCAAACTATGGATCTGAGGCCTTCACTATGGTAAGTAGGTCCATATTTTTATTTCCTGGCTACAATTTAATACAACTAAGTTACATATTTGCTCTGACAAAATCTCTTTCATTATAGAGAAACTTACCTTAAAAAGACAAAATTGTAGGATAACTAGATTTCTGCAAAAATGGTCCAAGTTACTTGTGATAGTTGTAAATTGAATTTATTATATTTTATATCACATTATTTTTATGTGTGTTATTATTATGTCTTTAAAAGTAAGTGTGTAATCTGAGAATAGGTGGAGAAAATTGGATGAATCACATGGTGAAATACATAAGATCCAGTTTTTGGTGATAGTCAATACTTAGCTTTGTTTAATATACTTCTACTTGCATCAGTACCCAAGCAGCTACTTTCATTGATTGAACTGCATAATCAGGGGTCATGATAAAATCCCTGAAAGAGACAGAACCATCTTTGTAAGCTGTGCTAAGGACTTCAATGCCCAGTGGATATATATCAAGAGCTAATTTAAAATATACTATTGGAAGATGATTTTATTGTCAATCCAGCATTTCCTAATTTTCTGGATGCTTTTTTTTTTTCATGGTTCCATTCAAATGAACACGGGAAAACAAGAATATTGTACAGTCTGACTCAGATTTCAAGGGGGGTGAGTACCTGTACCATACTGAGCCAGAATCTCTTCTCGGGGAGCTTGGCAATAGGATTAAGATATTCCAGCCTCGTCTCTCTGTTCTCTTAGGGAGAGAAGATACAAAACTGGAAATATAATGTAATGCATGTTCTACCATGAAACCTGAAAAACAGCAAATGTCAGTTTCCAACAAGAAACAAAAATAAAACCAATATGCAAAAAGATGAGAAAAACTTTTCTGCTGGCGTCCAAGTATCTGATTTCAATTCATTCCCGAGACCTACTTTTAGACGTGTCTTAAGATCCTAACCAATCAAACTCTTATAATAAAATACCTTTTACTTACATAAGGACAAGTAGGTATATTTTGCTTGCCATCAAGAGTCTAAAATAAAACTCTATTGTGCTTTCAACTTTATGTTCTCACTAAATATTTGTATTATATTTAAATTATCTTAATTTAAGTTATAATGAAAATTAAGAGTATTTAGTGAATGAGACTCAACAGTAATTATAGGTATGGAACTATTTTAGTTGAATATTTGACCTGTTTGGATACTTCTTGAGCACATATTCACCCTATGATTCACACATTGTGCATTTCAATCTAGTATGCTAAATAATGATAAGCAAGTACACTTAGGGAGCACTAACTCTTATTGTCCTTGGCTTAGTTAAAAGTGAATTCCACGTCATGTCCAAAGAAGGGCTATCTTATGAGGCTAGATTTTCAATAGAATTCTTGATCCACCAGAGATAGTATAACCCACCACACCAAATAAAATATATTCTACATTGTGGTTGTGAAATAATCCTAAAGGTTATGAAACATGGTAAGCTGTGTCTTTGTTTGAGAATTAGCACTTTACAATCCATGCTCACGTCCATGTAATAATGTCACTGAGCCCTCAAGGTTCAGCAAGTTCTTTAGCTAAAAGTATAATCAACTTTTGCTTTGATCCTGCTTGAAACTTCTCAGAACACTTAAAGCTGATTTATTCCCTAAACCAACATAAAGAATGAAAATTATTTGCTCTCTGAAAAAGGACCTGAATGCAACTTGAAAAATCTAATCAAAATATCACAAATCTCAGATATAATTTTATTTGATATACTGTAGAGAAAATAGCATATTAGGTTGATATTCCACTTTTTATAAAATTTACCCTAAAATGTGATATTCTTACATTAAAATACTTTTCCAGAGCAAAACCAAACAAAGCCAGATTATGCTATTTAGACATATTATATTTGTTTCTGTTTCTCTCTCTTTTATTTTTGTTCTTGCTCAAGGTCCATTGTAATTCACTCAAGTTTGAACTAATTATGTAGCTTGAGTGAAGCAAAATAAAATATTTAAAGTCTTATTTAAGAAACAATAGATACTTTATGTATGTTTGACTATAGATTTTTCTACAGGTTTTCTATCCATTCTACCCCTGCAATTCTCCCTTTACCCTCCAACACATATGCACGACTGCCATGTTACTAAATCCAATGGAAAATCCACGTTTCCTCCTGACTCACCACTGGCATTTTACGCAGACGCTCCTTCCTCCTTGATGAAATCTTATCCCTTGGCTCACAGAACCCCAAATATCCTTGGTATTCCTCTCCCCTCACTGCCTCTCTTTCTCTGCCTTCTTTGATGGTTCCTATTTCTGTTCTCAGCTCCATGTTGAAATGTCCAATGCTCTATCCTTGGTTAGCTTCTCTTTTTTATCTGTACTTACTCCCTGGATGAGCTCATCTAGTCTATTGCTTTAAAATTCCATATCTAAAAACTCTCATTTTTCTCCAGCAAAGGCCTCTCTCCTAAACTCCAGATTCATGTATTCAACTGCCTACTCAAAATCACCATTTGAATGTCTAAGAGACATTGAAGATTCAGCATATTGTATAATGAACTCCTGAAATTTTCCCCAAACCTGCCCCACCTATAGCCTTCCTAATCACAGTAATGGCAATCATCCTTCTTAGTTGTCAAGGTTGTGAAAGTTGTCAGATTCAAAATGTAGGCACTAATGTTAAGAAAACCCTGATAAATAGAGCCAGGAAAGGCCATGAAGTGAGTGTTGTCGTGCTTATATGCCGGAGAACAAAAACTGTCACGAAAGACTGCAAAAAACACAACCTGGCAAAAAGACCATTGCAATCTTTCACCAAAAATACTTCTGCAAGGGTATCCTCCCAGCAGCTGTCTGTTCAACCTCAGACTCGTGTCACCCTTGTTATTGAAGGATAATTATTCCAGAACAATTATGTAATCTTCCTCATTTTGACCTTTAAAAATCTTTGTATTCTTTTACCCCCTTAACTATGCACATAGTTTACTATCATGTGCATATTGCCATTGTGATGCATTACTCCCAGATAAACATCTTTCCTTTTATAGAGCCTCTTCCTGTTTGTTGTCTAGGTTGACAAGGTCAAAATATTGAAATTATTTTTCACTCATCATTTTTTCTCGTGCCCTATATCCAATATATCAGCAAGTCATGCTGACTCTATCTTCAAAATACTACTAAAATTTACCACTTCTAGGCACATTTGCATTTAAATACAAATTATAAAGTACATTGTTTTCATTGAATAGAGATATGCAGTAGTTATGCATATTTTTAGAAAACTCAGATTGGTCATATTAAGTCATTAATAAAAATTATAAGATGTTTGAATCCCACCACTGGTTAGCCATGCCATTTTTACAGTTATCTAATAGCACTAAGCCTTAGTTTGCTTATATTAAAAAATGGAATTAAGATCACCAACCTAAAAGAATTTCTGTAAGAAAGAATTCTGATCTCTAAGGTTTCATCTCTAAGAATCATAGCTCTAAAATAACAGGGGGTGGAGGAGAAGAGAAAACTAAAATGCCCAGTATAAATCTTTTTTAGTACAACTTACTCAAGGCTAACTTTTGTGTTGCTTGCAGAATCTCTTCCATGTGGTCAGCTGTGTTACACTGTGAATTCAGTACTTCTACCAATTCCCACTGTAAGATGAAAGACGGATTCAATATTTCAAGTCTGGGTTTTATTATAAAGTAGGAAAACAGATAACAAGCTGGTTTGGAGGGAAAGTGATGGTTTGGAGGGAAGAAGAACTTGAATGTAGAGTATCATATATGAGAGACCCAAAGAAGAAGCAAAGAGAGCCCCCTCAAATGTTAGAAATATTGCCAGGAGCTCAGCAGGAGGCAGGGGACTATAATATATAGTTGAACTTTTGGAGGATGATGACATCTTTAGGAGAAAGAACAGAAATAAAAAGACCTAAGGAGACAAGGCAGTGGAGCCAAAAATCTTTTCCTAACCTCAACTTTTGAGCTTTTGTAGCTCTAGTTGCAACCAGCATAGGAATATTACTCTTGCATACTTTTTCTCTTGTCCAAGAAAACATGCTATGTTTTAAAAGCTTTTTCTGGCAAGTAAAAGGTCTTCTGTTGATTAATGTACCTTACAAAATCAACCTGTGATTTACTAAAATGTAGTCCATGACATTCAGGACATCAATCTGCCTTCTATATGAAGCACTTCTTAAAAAAAATCACTTAAATAATTCAGTGGCCTAGCTTATGTGGATATATTCTAACAGAGACCTAGCTTATCTAAAATTCCACTCTGCAACAAGCAGAGGACAAGCAGGATGCTGCACAGAATCTGCTTGAAGGCCATTTGCAGTGTGACATCATTAAGAGCACCAAAACTGTGAAGTCAGAGATCTGGGCTTTAATTCTACCACTTTTACAGTTTTTGCCTTGATAAGCTATTCCCCCTTCTGTGAAATGTATACCTTCCTTGCAGTAATTTTGTGAGCATTCAATGAGATCAAGTGCAATGAAAATAAGGCAACTGGCACAGTTGCAGACTAATGTCAGGTATTAAGACCTTTTTGCCTCATTTGTCAGCATTTGTACTGGGGAGCATAAGATAGATAATTGGGCTCTATGCAAACAGGCATGGAACCATTATGAAATTATTTTGAAGAGTACATAGAATCTCCTTCGTGGACAGCCCAGGTGATTGATTTTTTCCACTGATTGACTCTTGTGAAAACTGCTATCAATATTTCCCCTTCTTTTCATATAAACCTAAGAATAATCCAGAAAGACAGCTTGAATGCAGTCAATAAAAATGTGAAACATGTTCCCAAGAATATGAAAGTGTTCTTATTACGGTCTCTGAAGGTCTAATATTATTACTTGATGATCTTGAAATGAAAGTGCACCTATTATTGGTTGATAGCATTACTTTTCCTATATCATGTTCTCCGGAATATAAAACTAGATTGAACTGGCAACTTTATTTTAAAGGTATTTTAATTTAAATATGTAAATGTCTAAAATTTTATTATGCACACTCTTGCCACAGGAACATATGTTGGATTTTTTATACACTTGTTTTTGTATTAAATATAAGTAGAAATGAAGAAAGATGCCCCAATACAATGTTACTATAAAAACCATATGATTATAAGAAAATTGTAACTTCTGAGAGCTTCCTAACTTCAATAAAGAGACACGATATGACCAATATGGAAACACTTGTTAAAGAAGGTAAAATCTATTAAGCAGCAGTGATCTGATTCTGACAATTCAGACTTAATGAAACATTCAGAATATGCTATTACTGATACTGTTCATTTAAATATGCTATCACTGATATTGTTTCATTAGGTATACAATTTCTTGCTCAGTGTTTTCATGCCTAAGTGACCTCTAAATTGGTCTGCTGCAAATCACTGCTAATAGATTCACAACAATCTACACCACTCAACCGTTTACAGAGACTGAACGACACAGAGGAGAGGTTCAGATTTCTCAGGAGAGGAATAAATCTTCAAAACCAAAATATGCTTCTTTTCCCTCGGTTTATCTCTTTCTCTCTTTTTCCCTCACCTTTTGCTTCTCCCTTCACTTTCCCTTTTATCTCCCTATTTCTCCTACACTCTCTTTTCTCTTTCCTTCCATCACCCCCCACGAGTTTTCACATACACATAGCAACTGTGAGTATAATTGAGAAGAATCTTAGAGTGGAATGCTTTGCTTTCTAGAGTAACAGACCACATTGCTCAAAATTGTGATTCATAGACATACGAGTAGTGGAATTTCTCTGTTACTCGATTATACATGACAATCTTATCTGTGAGCCTAAAGCCAATACACTAGTTATCACTGGAATGTAAAAGGGGGCACGGATTCTGAAGTTTGACAGCATTAGTTCAAATCCTAAATCTCACTACCTATATAGCCTGGAGGAAGTTATGTATCTTTGCAGTGTCTTCGTCTCTTCAGGCTGCTATAACAATATTATAAACTGGGTGATTTATAAACAGCAAACATTTATTTCTTACAGTTCTGGAATCAGGGAAGTCCAAAATCAAGGCACCAGCAGATTCGGTGTCTGGTAAAGACATGTTTCCTTAACTATGTAAATGCCTAACATTTTATTATGTACGTTTATGAACTTTCTTTTGTATTAAATATAAGTAGAAATGAAGAGGTGTCCAAATACAATGTTACTGTAAGAAACATATGATTATAGAAAGATTGTAACTTTTGAGAGCTTCCTAACTTCAATAAGGGGACACAATAAGATAGCACCTTCTCTCTGAGACCTCACACAATGGAAGGTGTTAGCTAGCTTTTTGTGTTCTTTTTTATAAGGGCACTAATCTCCATCATGAGGGAGCTCTCATGATCTAATTACCTCTCAAGAACCCCAACTCCTAATACCATTACCTTGAAGGTTAGGATTTTAACATCTGAATTTTGGGCAGGACAAAAACAACCAGAGCATAGCATAGAGCTTTTGCTTTTCATATTGATTAAATAATGCATTTATTTAATAAATGTTTATTGTTTATTTACTCTAGCTAGAAACTGCTCAATGACCTGGTAATATACCAATAAACAAAATAGACAAAGCCCTTGACCCATTGGAGCCTATAATCTGGTTAGAGGAGGCAGATTATAAACAAATATAGAAAAATGTGAAGAAATGATAACTGCAATAAAGATACTGCATATGAAGTGCTTAGTATCATGGTTAGAATGTAGTAAATGCTCAGTAAGTATTTACTAATTCAGGGTAATTTTCAGATAAGTTTACCTGGTAGGAAAGCAATATCCATCATGAAATGAACATAGTCATTAATCTTAGCCCTGGGCTGAAAACACCATGGAGGCAATGACTGCCTTGAAGCAAGGGAGGATCTGCCAGCTGCCTGGATAGAGGGGTATATAGTGCATTTCTTCTCTCCTCTATGCAGCCATGTGCCCTCCGGCCCCTGAAAGGTGAAAATAAAGGCCATTTTGTTCTGCCCATAAAATAGCGTGTTCAGTGCCAGAGAAACCGAAAGTTGTTATTTTACCCTGACAAGGTCACTAATAAAACTAACATATAAGGATCTATTGATTTTTTTGGAGTTAGGGTTTTTTTTGTTGTTTTCCTTGAAGTTTTATGTTTACCGTGCCCAAGTAAAAGGTGATTTATTTTGGATTCCAATAAGTTCCATCAAGGAGTCATTTCAGGGTTTCCTTTGAAAATAAGTGCATGGCAACAAGATGACCTGTGTGTTCACATAATTGCAACTAGCTGCAGGAAAGGGGAGCAGAGCCCCGTGAGGCCTGGGAATGTCTCTCCTATAAATAGAGGAGCAAAAGAGCAGCTTAGAGACATGAGAGGGAACAGCAGGGGATAGTGAAACAGGAAAACACCCAATTAAAAGTCAGAGGCTCATGTTTTATAGATCACTTGGCATTTATGCATACGTAATTAAACAACAAAGCAATGTGAGACTTGATATTTGGGAGGTTGCCCTGCCTGTCCTGTACTGGCCACCTCCAGCAACTTCAGAGAAATGAAACCATTAAGTGGGGAGCGCCGCATCTCTCCCCTGATGTGCACTTAATTCGTCACTGGGGCCATCATCCCTTAGAATAGCAGTGTTTGGGCTGCTTCATGCGGAATTGGCAATGCCACTGAGTTACTCCATAAGGGAAGTCCAATTCATTCCCCTAATTTATGCCTTTTAAAGCTCTCTGCTTACCGGAATCAATCTAATGGGCCATTTATGACACAATAATACTCATTCTTTTGGGCTGCCTCTACCAGATTTATCAAATCATTTGGAGGGTTTAGTATGGTATAATTTTAGTCGTCTGGAGTAAAGCACGACATGCCACTACTAACTGCAGATTGCTTTGGGGATAAAGGGGATATACATTATTTTACAAATAATATATAGGTATGTCTGTGTATGTGTTTAAGTACTCATCTCATAATGCCTTGGGATAGAAACAGAAAATAGTGGCAGCAATTTGCTACAGGCTGAAGATATTTATAAACCATGATTATAAATTTGACACGTGCTGGAGGAGTCAAAGCTTATTTGTGCTGAAGGCTAAAGGGGCCGTAGGGCATCACTGCTTAAGAGTTACAAGATTTCAAATAACCGTTGCTACCCCCAATTTTGTTTTACAAAATCTGAAAGCATAGCTTCCCTCCTTTGCCTCCACCTTATTTGCTTGGATTGTCCCCAGGAAAGTCAAGAATCTTTGATGTACCAAATACTTTCTCTGTGATATTAAGAGAAATTAGGGGATCATAGGATAAGTCTGAGAATAAAATAAGACTAAATATATAAGGGTCTTTGCCAGGCACAAGGGTTCATACCTATAATCCCAGCTTTTGGGAGGTCAAGGAAGGAGGATCACTGGAGCGCAGGAATTCATGGCTGCAATGAGCTGTGATCGCTCCAGTACACTCCAGCCTGGACAACAGACTGAGACCTCATTTCTAAAAAAACAAAATTGTAAAGCAAAAGGGCCTTAGCACATGGGAAAGTGGTCAAAAACTGATGATGTATTTGAGAGAAAGTAAGTAAAGTAGCATATCTGGAGTACAGTGAATCCAGGAGAGGATGAAACAAGAATTCAGAGAAGCACCATTCTCTACACAGTTTGTAGCAGAGTGACTGATGTATGGCAATTACTGATTGAATACCTTGTGGAAGGAATGGAAGAAAACCGAGGGAGGAAGATTATTATTGCCATGGTTTTAAATTATGTAGCTGGCATATCTTACTTCCCCAGCATGCTCCATTTTGTTTTATACACTGTCCACACTTTTATTTTAGTGGGCATGAGGAAAGGAAGGGCTTGGGGCTTTTTTATATCCTTGCTTATTTTGCTTCTAAGATAACGTGGCATGTTCGAAATAATACAGACGTGTCCTAACACAGACAAGTCCCAATTCCATTTCTGACACTTTCTAGTTAGGTGACTTTAGGCGGGTTACTTTCTGAATCTCAGTTTCGTTTTCTAGAGTTGGGACAGTAATGCCTGAACCTTAGGATCATCAAGGGAATCAGATGAGCACCTAGGGTAGTAGTAATAGCTGCATCCTTAAAGGAGGCAGATGCAAGGTGATATGGAGCAGTTCTCTAGCATACACGCACACACATGTGCACACACACACATTCTACTGGGATCTTCCCTTTGAACAGCTTCTCGTTCCTGCCTCAGATGCTCCAAACCTCCTGCATCACTCACAAGTAGTTTACAGTGGGGTGCATTTCTCTCCAGCTCTTTTTTTCCCCTATTCATTCTTCAGAATTCCAGTTGTGACTCAATGTTTACAAGGCACTGATCTCTGAATTTAGTAGAGTTTCTATATCCACTGGAGTTACACAATCAAAATAAACTCAGTAATTTTTTTTCCTATATTCCCTAGGGGTATTGAAATCTGAATAGACGTCCATTCCTTAATGAATCAGGCCATTCCATTCCTGGAGGCTGTTAGGGAGGGACGATTGCTCTGAAGCAGGATCCTGGCAACGACTAGAAAATAATCTTATGATATCCCCCAAAAGGACTACGGACATATTTTATACGAGTCTTGTTGTATCCCTACAGAAACCTTTCAGCAACTTTTCCTTCCAGACAGCATATTTTACTGAATGTATCTGTAATACAAATATTATTTCTGTGCCTTTTTCTTTTCTGCTTCTTACTCACTAAAACATAGCTAGTGTAACTAGTGCTTATGTTTAAGTATCCTGGTAATGTGAAGGAGGCAGTTGGGAAACATCTGCTTATTTGGGATGAAAATACAAATGTGTCTTAAGGTGTACCTAGGAATTACTAGAAGTAGTTGCTTTTTAAAAGGTAGATTCACGGGCTCTATTAGTCATGGGCTCATATGCTGATTCAGAATCCAAGAATTTTGGATCAAGAGCACTTCATTTTAATAGATTTTCCAGGTGATTCCTATGTAGGGTTTAGGAAGAGTTCAATTTATAGGTAATCAATCTGAATAACTCGGGAACCATTTGGATCACATATAATTTGCCTGCTTTTCTAAGGGTTGAACTATTGCTAGTGCTCGTGAACAATGACACTGATATTCACTGAGAATTCATTGTATACCCAGGGTTCTGCCAGACCCTTGCTATGCAGAATCTTATTTACTCTTTCCAGCAAACATATGAAAAAGTTTCATTATTCCCATTTTCCTGATGAGTCAATAGAGTCTTAGAGAGATCAAGCTTGTAAGAGGTCAGTCACACAACCGGCAGATGATAGAAAGCAACCTGTCCATTGCAAAGCCTATCTTATGGCCCCTGAAGGATTAACAAATTCTTTTTTCTTAACAAATTCTTACATACTGTCCTTTAAAAGTACTTCCTGAGAGGCCAAGGCAGTTGGATCACCTGAGATCAGGAGTTCGAGACCAGCCTGACCAACATGGTGAAACCTCGTCTCTACAAAAAATACAAAAAATTAGCCAGGCGTAGTGGTGGGTGCCTGTAATCCCGGCTACTCGGGAGGCTGAGGCAGGAGAATCACTTGAACCTTGGAGGTGGAGGTTGCAGAGAGCCAAGATAATGCCATTGAACTCCAGCCTGGACAACAAGAGCAAAACTCCGTCTCAAAAAAAAAAAACAAACAAAAAAGTACTTCCTGGGTTATTTATCTAATTTATGTTTATCAAACTGAGTTGGTTTCATGAGTTACAAACTTTTATGACTTGTGTTTCTGGTTATTACTGAAAATATGCTTTTCCTACAGTGCCTTGGTAGTTAAATCCACATGTTACTATCTGTCTGGCTTTTTAATAGAATGTACTTATTTGCACAATCCATTCCCTGTGCAGATGTTTGTTTCTTGGCCCAGCTGTAGATTAATTATAATGCCCATGCTCATGTTTTTATGGGTGCTGTAATAAAATAATTTTTAAGTTCGTTATTTAAAATGCCATATGATATAAAAGCCATTGCTGTTTTTTATTTTTATAAAGGATCTCCTAGTTTAAACAGCCTAAGTTCTAATCCAAGGACAGAAATTAATTTTTTGGTGTGAAGTTGAGAGCAATTTATGGAAGCTGATGGAAATAAATAAAGTGCTTTTTTTTCTATGATATATGTGATATTATTCTACAAAGTCAACAAATACATTTTAAGACAAAAAGCAAACACTGCCACACAACTCCTAGAATAAATAACCTGCTGGATTTAGAAAAGTACAATAGTCCCTTTATGCTCGGGGGATAAGTTCCAAACCCCTGTGGATCACTGAAGCTACAGAGAATACTAAACCCTATATATATGATGTTTTTCCATATAGATACCTATGATAAAGTTTAATTTATAAATTAGGTACAGTAAGAGATAACAATAATAACTAATATCATAAAATAGAAAAGCTATAACAATATGCCATGTTAGTACTCTTGCACCTTGGGGCCATTGTTAGGTAAAAATAAGGGTTACTTCAGCAATAAGCACTGCAGTATAGAGATAGTTACTAAGTGACTAACAGGTTGGTGGCGTGTACAATGTAGACACACTGGATAACGAAATGACTTATGTCTTGGGCAGGATTGGACAGGACCATGCAAGATTTCATCATGTTACTCAGAGTGGTATACAATTTTTTTTTTTTTTTTTTTTTTTGAGACGGAGTTTTGCTCTTTTGCCCAGGCTGGAGTGCAATGGCATGATCTTGGCTCAGTGCAACCTCCGCCTCCTAGCTTCAAGTGATTCTCCGGCCTCAGCCTCCCGAGTAGCTGGGATTACAGGCATGGGTCACCATGCCCGGCTAATTTTGTATTGTTAGCAGAGACAGGGTTTCTCCATGTTGATCAGGCTGGTCTCAAACTGTCGACCTCAGGTGATCCACTCGCCTCAGCCTCCCAAAGTGCTGGGATTACAGGTGTGAGCCACGGTGCCTGGCCCACAATTTAAAACTTATGAATGAATTATTTATTTCCAGAATTTTCATTTAATATATTTGGACCTTGGGTTGATCACCAGTAACTGAAATCACAAAAAGAGAAACCATGGATAAGACGGTGATACTGTACTGGAATTTTAGTTCAGTCACACATTCTAAGTGTGCCCTGTTTGAATCCAACTCCTCTAGGGTTAAACTGTAGTTTAACCGTTGTCCACGTGTGATGTAAAAGCTACAATTAAGGTCTACATTATGTACTGCTTTGACAGCTGATGAACTCAAAAGGGCCTCAAATGGCCTAACCACAGGTTCACTTCTCCACTTTGCTCCTGGGAATAAGGTCCCTTAGCCAAACAATCCTACTGTCAAAGGATCAAGTACAGTCTTGGAGTAGCAAGTTTTACGTTTTTTTGTTGGCTCATGGAACTATTGAAATAAGCCAATCACATTTTTCCTACAGGAACTAGAGGGCACCTCCTCCTTTTGGTACTACAAAGCCTGCCTCCCATATCCTCTGGTTGTGCACTCTGTTCCCTTGTGCAATCCATGTAGCCCCACAGGGCATGCAGTCTCCTTCTCTTGCAGACTGTGAGTACATGTAACCAATACATTAATAATTTATTTTATATATATATATATTTGTATTATACTTTAAGTTCTAGGGTACATGTGCACAACGTGCAGGTTAGTTACATATATATACATGTGCCATGTTGGTGTGCTGCACCCATTAACTCGTCATTTACATTAGGTATATCTCCTAATGCTATCCCTCCCCCCTCCCCCCACCCTACAACAGGCCCCGGTGTGTGATGTTCCCCTTCCTGTGTCCAAGTGTTCTCATTGTTCAATTCCCACCTATGAGTGAGAACATGCGGCCAATACACTAGTAATTTCATCTGTCCAGTGTAGGGTGTCTTATGTTTAACCATCTCTATAACCCTGAGGAGGGAATCCTCCTCTCACCAATGGAGTAGTTGGAAGGTGATTAAAACACTATGCCATTCTTTTCACCCTTCATGTTTAGAATCTATAACTTCTTTTCTTTTCTTTTCTTTTTTATATGAAGTCTCGCTCTGTCTCCAGGCTGGAGTGCGGTGGTGTGATCTCGGCTCACCGCAACCTCCGCCTCCAAGGTTCAAGCGATTCTCCTGCTTCAGCCTCCTGAGTAGCTGGGACTACAGGGCACGTGCCACCACACCCAGCTAATTTTTGTATTTTTAGTAGAGACAGGGTTTCACCATGTTGGCCAGGATGGTCTCGATCTCTTGACATCGTGATCCGCCTGCCTCAGCCTCCCAAAGTGCTGGGATTACAGGCGTGAGCCACCGTGACCGGCCTAGAATCTGTAACTTCTATAAATCTAGCTGAGCTCTTCATGGTAGAAGAAGTTAACAGGGAATATCTATATTTTGAGAGAAGACTCCATAAGTCAAACTTGCTTAGCCAATATCTATATGGTGAGAAATCCACTCATCCAGATTAACCAGCTTTAGAGACCAGAATATGCTTGGCATGGGAAATTGACAGAGGAAACACTCATCATTCTGGGCATTTTGATGATACTGCACTCAAGGAATTACTTCTTCTGATCTTCCACTGCTGCCTTCAGTGAAAGCAGCTGCTAAGTTTCTTTTTACTGGAGAATTATGCAAAATAGACAATCAGCATAGTTGTAAGAACACAATGTCCTTCAAAATTCACTCAAAAATTACTGAAAAAAGCTAAAGAGAAAGTAAAAGTCACTCACAGTCTTACATATATTTCAGTAAAAAGGAAATTCTATCCTTCCACTTCAAAAATCCCAGCTCTAAGAATCTGATGCACAGCCTTCTTTGTTTTTCCCAGACTTTCATAAACATAATTATATGTACACATGTACGTGCATATGCATCATTTTGTTTTACAAAATTAGGATCATTCAATACATACAACTCTAACTTATTCTGTTTTTATATTTCCAACTCACAATACATCGTGGTTATATTTCAAGGTCAATACACAGTTAATAACTCATCATTTATTTTTGTTAATTATCATTCTATTGTTTTTGGTGAACAATTTAGCCAACCCCTAGTGTATTGGGACCTGCAGCTTATTTTCAGTATTTTGCCATCACAAACAGTATGCATAGATGTTGACATCAGATTAGGGTTTGAGTTGCATATCTACCACTTACTAGGTACCTTATCTGGGCAATTTACTTAATTTATCTAAATCTAATTTTCATTTTATACATACAATGGGGAATAAAATAACTTTTCAGTGTTGTTGTAAGACCAAAATAAGATTATGCACATAAATTGACAGTACATTCTATGTAACTGTTTAATAAGGGACATAATTTAGAAATCTAAGAACTATTGTTAAATGTCTTAAGTATTTTGCTTATTAAACAGTTTAGACTTTCCTCAACTCTAGTCATTTATAGAACAGCTATGAATTTGCCATATTTTTGAGCTACCTTTACTCTTATTTACATAATATTATATGTAAGTCATTTCTTTACATTTAAAAAGTGAGTTGTCGTGAGGTGAAAACTTTATATTTCTACCACAAAATAATAAATTTGAGTCTAATTATAATTTCATAGTAATCATAAATTGTAATCAATATATTAAATAGTTTTAAAATATTAAATAATATATATTCTGTATTATTCAAAGACCAGTCAGAAGACAGAAATCACACAAGTAATTTCAGCAGGAGAAAAATTAATATAAAAAGGTATTAACTAGTAAAAGTGATTAACTACTAAACAAGATTAAAAAAAAACTTTCTAAGAAATAGGGACATCGCAGCTAGAGGGAAAAGCTGCTACCTCCAGGGCTGAGGGAGAACTCAAGAAGTGAATGCAACTTGAAGAGCCCTAGCTCCCAGTGCTGAGATTCTGTCCTTGAATGCAGCTCTCTGGAAGGGGGGAAAGGTTTGACATGACTTGGGGAAGAGCTTATGCACAGGAAGCCACCAACTAAGATGTCAGTGAACTGGAGCTAGCCCAAAAGAAGAGGCCTAAGAAACTGATTAAACATTGAATGCCGCTAAATGTCCTGCACACCACTGAGAGCCACAAGAGGAAGGAAAATACAGGAACAAAGATGACAAGCGCTTTGTTCTTTCTACACCTTCCCACATTTCTCTCACATCCTCTATTGACAAAGCCCAGTATTGCACCACCTGTCAAGGGAGAAATATTTACTTGATCAAGCTGAGAAAATACATCAAGGCAAAGAAGAGTGGATTTGGAGCTGAGAGGCAATGTAATCATTTGCTTATTTTTTCCCTTACCACCTAAAATCATCTTGTGTAGTCCTAGTGGGTTATGCACCATATGGGAAACACTGACATGAAAAACTCAGTTTTTTTTGGTTTGTTTTTTTTTATTATACTTTAAGTTTTAGGGTACATGTGCACAATGTGCAGGTTTGTTACATATGTATACATGTGCCATGTTGGTGTGCTGCACCCAGTAACTCATCATTTAACATTAGGTATATCTCCTCTGGCTATCCCTCCCCCCTCCCCATAAAGACATATGCACATGTATGTTTATTGTGGCACTATTCACAATAGCAAAGACTTGGAAGCAACCCAAATGTCCAACAATGATAGACTGGATTAAGAAAATGTGGCACATAATACACCATGGAATACTATGCAGCCATAAAAAATGATGAGTTCATGTCCTTTGTAGGGACGTGGATGAAGCTGGAAACCATCATTCTCAGCAAACTATCGCAAGGACATAAAACCAAACACCACGTGTTCTCCCTCATAGGTGGAAATTGAACAATGAGAACTCATGGACACAGGAAGGGAAAAACTCAGTTTTAAATATACAGTTCCACATCTATTATCACGTTATTCTTACACTCTCTATGCAGGTGAATAGTGTTGATAGTCTAGACTTAATTCCATTTTATAGATTAAAACACTGAGGCAAAAGGTTATTACCTAAAATAACCTATTTAGTTAGCAGACAGAACAGAATTCTTCTGATGTCCAATTTGGCTTCTTGCTAGATATTTAACATTCTGAACTGGTGAATTATGACATGAATGCTGCTGATTCTTCCAAATAATAACTTCCAAACTGTTCGGCTAACTTCCTAAGTTTTGTCTTATTTTAAATTAGAAAATGATAACCTTATATTGAGTTGGAAGGTACTGTAGCACTAAATTAGATTTGACTAGATCTGGAGAAGGATCTAATTTGCATGAGAATAATCCTATGCTGAGATTTTTGATATTTCAATTTTAACCATACATTTTCCACAGTTCTGCCATGTGACCTAAAACAAATCACTTTCACCTTTCTCTAAGTGTCAGTTTCTTCATCTGTTAAAAGCAAGGAGGAATCAAAAGTTATCTGCAAGCTTTCTTATAATCCTATTATTTTGGAGGTAAGATCAGTGATCAGAGTTTGGCAGTCTCCCTTGGGACATACAGAATTTCATTGGTAATCATTCTTCTCTTTCAAACTGCATAAACCTCATGCTTTACAGGGTAAATTCTGAGCATCTGAATGTGATATACCAAGCTTTCTTTCTTCTTCTTTTTTTTCTTTTTTTTTGAGACGGAGTCTCGCTCTGTCACCAGGCTATAGTGCAATGGTGCGATCTGGGCTCTGCAACCTCCACCTGCCAGGTTCAAGCGATTCTCCTGCCTCAGTCTCCCCAGTAGCTGGGATTACAGGTGCCCGCCACCACGCCCAGCTGATTTTTGTATTTGTAGTAGAGACGGGGTTTCACCATGTTGGCCAGGCTAGTCTCGAACTCCTGACCTCATGATCTGCCTGCTTTGGCCTCCCAAAGTGCTGGGATTACAGGCGTGAGCCACTGCACCCGACCAATATACCAAGCTTTCTAAGACCCTGTTCTTACTTTTTATGTCAGCCTCATATCTCACTCTGTTTTACTTCTTGGACTACTTCAACTACTCTACTGATTCTATTTCTATTGGTCTCTGTGCATATCCCCACACTAAAATGCACCACCCTCACTTCTTCACTTGGATGGCTGTTACTTGTTCTTCATCATCCAGCCCAGAGTCCTCCTGCTCTAAGAAGCATTACATGAACTCCTTAGCAGGCTGTATCCTTGTTTCATCCTCCATCACAATACTTTGCAGTATTCTTCTAGCACTAAGCATCTGTTTGTGGGTAGGCTGGAGTTATCTATTTGTGTGTCCTCCCCATGAGCATGAAGGAAGTGGCAAGAACATTAATATTTGTACCTATATCATCCAGTACTGACAATGAAGCAAATACTCCCAACCTTTTTACTACTTGGTTATTCCTACCTTCTTTTCTTCATACTACTTTAAGAAAGCTTTGTACAACATTGTTCATATTTATATGTGCCCTGAAAAGTCTATGTTAATATTTGACCAGGCATTAACCAATCTAGGTGTCAAATAATTTATTTTGAAGTGAATTTTAGCATTCTTGGGCAAAATCTCTGCATTTGTGGATGTAGGTGTTAATAGCACTATAATATAAAAATGTCATTTCTGATCTGGAAATGCTTCACTTCAGCCACAGATGAATATTGTCAAAGGTGATTAACTGTGTCACCTTAATAGATGAGGCCACTCTAGATGCCTGCCCTTGCTGGGGTGTTCACCTGGAAGAAATGTTGCTTTATAAAGGAATGAAAAGGCAAAGGGGCAATCTGGTAGAGAAAAGAGTGAAGCAGACCATAAGCTTACTGAGTGAGTGTACAGGGCACAGTTTTTAAGTTGAGTTGAGGTTCAACAGTTTGGCATTTCTGATATTGTTTAACCATCTAGAAATTGAATTAGACCCAAGTGCTTTTCCCTTAGTGACCCAGAAATTTCTCAAGTGAGAAAAGGAACAATGTGGAAAAACAAAAACAGAGGCTGCTTTCAAATATTTCCATACTGAATACAACACAGAATGGCTATTCCATACATTACTTATATTAATCAAATGCACTAATATTTATAAAGTTTAAGGTACTAATTGGGTGAAATATATTTTTTTCTGCCTCCACAACTTCCTCCACACACATACCTCATGTTCAATCCTTAATAATCCTAGTTTAATGATTATATTCATTCATTCCCAACAATTTAAGGTATACAATTGAATTTTCTATCTAGAAATTCAGAGAACTGCAGAGAAAATCTTAGGTGATAAAAGAACACAAAAGATCTGTTGTATATGTTATCCCATTTTTTTAAAAAAAGGGTAGAATGTATAATCTGAGTTTCTGTAGTGAATGTTACATTCCTTGAGTATAGGCTTGAATTAAGAGTTAATAGGTATAATTTTTCCCATAAGCAATGTTGTAGTGTGGTAGAAATCACACATATAGTGGAAGTTTGGTGATTTTTCCTTGTTTCTTTGCCTTTTGTGAAACATCCATTTAAATGAAGGTGAGAGAATTCCAGAAAAGATTTATAAGGTCCTTTCCAACTTTAACTTCTCATTTTGTAGGTGAAGAAACTGAGTTGTGGAGAAGTGATTTGAACTGGGTGATGTCAGTTAGATGAACAAACCTAAGATTAAAACTGAGACCCTCAAGGGAAAAATACACGTTTTTCCTCCCTTTTTCTCCTTGCATAGAATTCAGCCCTTTCTGTTAACTAGTAACAAAATATAATGTATAAACCTATAGTTTTAATTTTTGAAATTGAGGCAGCTTGCACAAATGTTTGCATCAATATAAACTAAATATAAATCTTGTAATAAATATAAAATTTTTATGGTGGCATGTGTCTGTAGTCCCAGCTTCTTCTTCCTTTTTTTTTTTTTTTTTTTTTTGATGTAGTTTTGCTCTTGTTGCCCAGGCTGGAATGCAATGGCGCGATCTCAGCTCATTCAGCTCATTGCAACCTCTGCTTTGCGGGTTCAAGGAATTCTCATGCCTCAGTCTCCTGAGTAGCTGGGATCACAGGCACCCGCCACCACACCTGGCTAATTTTTTGTGTTTTTTAGTAGAGATGGGGGTTCACTATGTTGGCCAGGCTGGTCTCTAACTCCTGACCTCAAGTGATCCACCTGTTTTGGCCTCCCAAAATGCTGGGATTACAGGCGTTAGCCACAGTACCCAGCCAGTCCCAGCTTCTTGAGAGGCTGAGGTGGGAGGATTGCTTGAAACCAGGAGTTTGAGGCTGCAGTGGGCTATGATCATGCCACCGCACTCCAGCCTGGGTGACAGAGTGAGACCATATCTTTATTAAAAAAAAAATAAAATTTAAAAAGATAAAGTAAAATTGGATAAAGCAGGTATAGTGTCACTGTGCAACAGACTTTTCAAAAAGAGGAATTCAGTTGTTCAATCAACAAAAATTTGGCTTTGTTCTTCAGCTGGTTAAAAAAATATTTAGCTGAGAACACCCTACTCTTTTTAAAATAAACATCAAAGACTTTCTCAAAGGAAGTACTAAATTTCTTAGCAGTTAAATCTGAGGAGGACTTCCAGTTTCCAGTCTGGCATGTAAAGAGTTTGGAAGTCATCACTCACCTAACCAAAAAACAAAATAAAAAAAAAATGCTGAACAAGTTGAAAATCAACAACTCTTCCTAAATCTGGCAAACAACGAAGGTCACAGGGGAAACTACTGCCCCTCAAATTGGAGATACATACAGGTAGTTAAAGGGAATAACAACATACAAGAGTAGAAGCCCTCTAATAGAAACCCCCATAGAAACAAGTTCTAGGGTAAGAATACCTAAACTGTAATTGCCAAATTCCTGGAGGCCCAGTGTAGGCAAGTGTAAGTGTTAAAAACACCAGGGAGGCTCAGTCTTAGGAGAGCTACTTAGGAGAGATACTTTTGTAAGTTTTACCTCCAGGAGCCCTACCAGGTTCTCACAGTGAAAATCTGCAGAGTGAGGGGACAAGTGGCCATTCTGAATACTTCCAGAACAGCAAAAAGGTCTGCCTTGAGGAAAATCTATTTTACCATAACCTAACTGATGGATTTTGTCAGAACCCAACCAACCAGAAGGGAAATAACCAATTCCAGTAAGTTTTAGCCTTCCTGTCACATTCAAGGGGGCAAAAATTATGAGGAGCACTTGTGAGGGACAGAGGCTCATTAAAGGACGGAAACCTGATCATAGGATTATAGAATGTCTCCACACATGTATACATTAACATAAGACTCCCATAAAATAGGGGAGAGAAAGTGAAGAACACCAGAGGAAGTTTAGGCTTCTGACACCTGTAGCTAAAGCAAATAGTAAACACAATCAAACTCCTATCCATATAAACAGAAAATCTCACTAAACACCTATTTACCTCAGTTCCTTTTGCACAGCACATCATGTACTTCTTTCAACAAAAATTTGCAAAGTATAATCAAAGGCCAAAAAAGAAAAAAAACCCAAAAACCCAACACCCCACAGTTGGAAGAGACATAGCAAGAATTAGCACCAGGTTCAGATATGACAGAGATGTTAGATCTTCACAGTGGTAATTTAAAACAACTATGACTAATAGGCTAAGGGTTCTAATAAAAAATGAGTATGGCTTGCAAAAAAAAAAGATGGGTGATGTAAACAGAGAGATGGAAACTCTACAAAAGAATAAAAAGAAATACTAGAAATCGAAATCATTGTAACAGAAAGAAAGAATACCTTTGCTGAGCTAAATAGACTGGACACAGGGTAGGAAAGAATCAGGGAGCTTGAAGGAATATCAAGAAAAATTTCTTAAATGATAATGCAAAGAGAAAAAAAAGAATGTAAAAGACAGAAACAAATGATCAAGAAATGTAGAAAAATTACATTACAATTCTACACAAAACCACAGATTCAAGAAGTTCAGAGGACACCAAGAATAAATTATAACAATAAAATAACAATAGTAACAGAGAGAGAGCAAACTCCACAGAAACTAAACCTAGACATATACTCAAACTTCAGAAAATCAAAGACCAAGAGCAAATCATTAAAGCCAAAAGAAAAGCAAACCTTACTGATAGAGGAACAAAGGTAAGAATTCTATGAGACTTCTCAGAAACCATGGAAGCAAGAAAAGAGTGAAGTGAAATGTTGATACACGCCGCCCCCTCCCCACAACAAATTTCTAATTCTTTATCAAGAGAAGTCATTCTTCAAAAGCGAAGGAGCAATAAAGACTTTCTTACACAAACAAACACTGACAGAATTTGTCACCAGTAGACCTACCTTGCAAAAAATGTGACAAGAAATTCTTCAGAAAGAAGAAAAATAATATAGGTCAGAAACTCAGATCTATATAAACAAAAAAGAACATTAGACAAGGAATAAATTAAATCAAAATAAAATATTTTATTTCCATTATTCTTCATAGATTTAACAGCTACTATTATTATGTTCAAATAATAATAGTAGGAAAACTAATAAGAAAACATTGGTTGGGAACTACATATTAGACCAAATGGAACTAGTAGACATATATAGAAATTTCCCCCCAAGAGACCTAATGTGATATATTCTGAGAATGCTCCATGTTCACTTTATACATTCTTATATATAAGAAGGTCAAAATATGCCAAGTTTCTTTTCTGACCACGATGGAATGAAATTAGTAATCAATAACAGCAAGAAAATCAAATTTACAAATTTGTGGAAACTAAACAACACACTCTTGAACAGCCATTGGGTCAAAAAATAAATCAAAAGGAAATTTTAAAAATAAGACAAAATGAAAACACAACAATAAAAACTTATTAGATGCAGCAAAACCAGTATTAAGAGGATGGTTTACAATGATGAACACTGACGTTAAAAAAGAAGAAATCGGCTGGGTGCGGTGGCTCACGCCTGTAATCCCAACACTCTGGGAGGCCGAGGCATGTGGATCATCTGAGGTCGGGAGTTCCAGACCAATCTGACCAACACGGAGGAACCCCGTTTCTACTAAAAAGACAAAATTAGCTGGGCGTGGTGGCACATGCCTGTAATGCCAGCTACTCGGGAGGCTGAGACAGGAGAATCACTTGAACCTGGGAGGCGGAGGTTGTGGTGAGCCGAGATCACGCCATTGCACTCCAGCCTGGGCAACAAGACTGAAACTCCAAAAGGAAAGAAGGAAGGAAGGAAGGACGGATGGACGGAAGGAAGGAAGGAAGGAAGGAGGGAAGGAAGGAAAGAAAGAGAGAGAGACAGAGAGAGAAAGGAAGGAAGGAAGGAAGGAAGGAAGGAAGGAAGGAAAGAAAGAAAGAAAGAAAGAAAGAAAGAAAGAAAGAAAGAAAGAAAGAAAGAAAGAAAGAAAGAAAGGAAAGAAAGGAAAGAGAGAGAGAAAGAAAGAAAGAGAAAGAAAGAAAGAAAGAAAGAAAGAAAGAAAGAAAGAAAGAAAGAAAGAAAGAAAGAAAAAGAAAGAAAGAAAGAAAGATCTCAGATGAGCAATTCAACTTTATACTTATAGGAACCAGAGAAAGAGGAACAGGGCTGGGCGCGGTGGCTCACACCTGTTATCCCAGCACTTTGGGAGGCCGAGGTGGGTGGATCACAAGGTCAGGAGATTGAGACCATCCTGGCTAACACAGTGAAACCCCATCTCTACTAAGAATACGAAAAAAATTAGCCAAGCGTGGTGGTGCGCGCCTGTAGTCCCAGCCACTCTGGAGGCTGATGCAGGAGAATCGCTTGAACCCTGGAGGCGGAGGTTGCAGTGAGCCTAGATCTGCTACTGCACTCCAGCCCAGGTAACAGAGCGAGGCTCTGAAATAAATAAATAAATAAATAAATAAATAAATAAATAAAAGAAAAAGAGGAACAGATTAAGGCGAAAGTTAGTCCAAAGAAAAAGTAAATAATAAAGATCAGAGCAGAAGTAAATCAAATAGAGAACAGAAAGGAAATAGAGGCCAGGCATGGTGGTTCATGCCTGTAGTCACAATGCTTTGGGAGACTGAGGCAGGAGGACTGTTTGAGCCCAGCAGTTCGAAGTTGTAGTAAACTATGTTCTATGATCATGCCACTGCACACCAGCCTGGGCAACACAGCAAGACCCTGTATCTAAAATCGAGGGACCCTTATAGCTTAACTAAAAGAGAGAAAAGACTCAAATACAATCAGAAATGAAAGAAGATGCAATACGATAGATGCCCCAGAAATAAAAAAGATCATGAGATTATTACAAAAAATTATATGCCAATGAATTGGATAACCTGTGAAAAATGAATACATTCTTAGAAATATGCAACCTACCAAGAGTGAATCAAGAAGAAACAGAAAGCCTGAGCCGACCAAAACCAATAAGGAAGCAGGAATCAGAACCTTTCCAACAAAGAGAAGCCCGAGGCCAAATACTTTCATAGGTGAATTCTACTAAATACTCAAAGAACGAATAGCAATTCATGTTAAACTCTTCCAAAAAACAGAAAAAAAGAGAACATTTTCAAAGCCATTTTTTGAAGCCAACATCACACGAATAACAATGCTGAACAAAGACACCACAGAAAACATAGATATAAACATGCACAATAAAATATGAGGAAACTGAATTCAACGGCACAACAGAAAATATTATGCACCATGACCAAGTAATATTTATCCCTGGGATGCAATATTGTTTCAACATATTCAAATTAATCAGTGTAATACACCATATTAACAGAATGAAAGACACAAATTACATGACCATCTCAATAGTTGCAGAAACAGTATTTGATAAAATTCAACATCTATTCATAATAAAAACTTTCACCAAAATAGGTAGAGAAGAAACTTATCTCAACACACTGAAGGCCATCATATCATAATCAATGGAGTAAAACTGAAAGTTTGTCTTGTATGCTTCACTACAATACTAGAATGCCTGTTCTTGCCACTTTTATTAAACAGTGTACTCATCCTAGCAGGAGCAATTAGACAAGAAAGAAAAATAAAAGATATACAAACCAGAAGGAAAAAATTAAAATTACCTCCAGTTGCAGATTACATATTTCTATATGTAGAAACCACTAAGACTTCATAAAAATTGATTCAAATTAAAAAATAAATTCAGCAAAGTTCCAGAGTACAAAACAAATACACAAATATCAGTAATTCCTCTTCATATCAACAATGAAATACTTGAAAAAGAAATAAAAAGTCAATTCCATTTAAAATTCATCAAAAAGAATAAAATAATTAGAAATTTAACAAAGGAGGTAAAAGATCTGTACACTAAAACTATAAAGCAAAAACTATAAAAAAATGGAAGAAGACACAAATAAATGGAAAAATATCATGTGTCACGGATTGAAAAAATTAATGTTTTAAATGTCCAAACTATCTGTATTAGTCAGGGTTCTCTAGAGGGATGGAACTAATAGGATAGATGTATATATGAAGGGGACTTTATTAAGGAGTATGGACTCACATGATCACAAGGTGAAGTCCCAGAACAGGTCATCTACGCTGAGAAGCAAGGAAGCCAGCCTGAGTCCCAAAACCTCAAAAATAGAGAAGTCGACAGAGCAGCATCAGTCTGTGGCCAAAGGCCCGAGAGCCCCTGGCAAACCAATGGGGTAAGTTCAAGAGTCTAAGAGTTGAAGATGTTTGAAGGCCGGAAGCATACAGCACAGGAGAAGGATGAAGACCAGAAGACCCAGCAAGCCTGCTCTTTTCCACCTTCTTCTGCCTGCTTTATTCTAGCTGCGCTGGCAGCTGATTAGATGGTGTCCACCCAGATTGAGGGTGTATCTGCCCCTCCAAGTCCACTGATGCAAATGTTAATTTCCTTTGGCAACACCCCTCACAGACACACTCAGGAACAATACTTTGCATCCTTCAATCCAATCAAGTTGACAGTCAATATTAACCATCACACTATCCAACGTGATCTAATGATTCAACATAATCCTTATAAGTATTCCAATGGCACTTTTTACAGAAATAAAAAAAGTACTGAAATTCATATAGAACTAGAAATAACCCCAAATAATCAAAGTAATCTTGAGAAAGAAGGACAAAGTTGGGGGCATCCCACTTCCTGATTTCAAATATATTTCAAAGCTATGGTAATCTAAACAGTATGGTATTGGCATAAAATTAGACACATGGATGAATGACGCAGAATAGACAGCACAGAAATAAATCCATGCATATACAGTCAACTAATTTTTGATAAGGGCACAAATAATACACAATGGAAAAAGAAAGTTCTCTTTAATAAATGGTGTTGGCAAAAGTGGATATATATATGCAAATGAATGAAATGGAAACCTACCTTATACCTATGGACAAACATTAACTAGAAATGAACTAAAGATTTAAATGTAAGACTTGGAACTTTAAAACTCATAGAAGAAAACATAGGGAGCTTTTGTTCCTTAACATTGGTCTTTGCAATTATTTTTTGGATATGACACCAAAAGCAATGACAACAAAAGCAAAAATAAACAAGAAGGACTACATCAAATTAAATAGTTTCTGCACAGCAAATGCAACAGTCAACATTTTTTATCTGTATGTATTTCTTTCTTTTTTTATTTTTTATTTTTGTGGGTACATTGTGGTGTATGTATTTATGAAGTACATGAGATATTTTGGTACAGGCATGCAATGTGTAATAATCATATTATGGAAAATTAGGTATCCATCCCCTCAAGCATGTATCCTTTGTGTTATAAACAAGCTGATTATACTCTTTTAGTTATTTTTAAATGTACAATTAAATTATTATTGAATATAATCCCCCTGTTGTGCTATAAAATACTAGGTCTTATTTTTTCTAACTATATTTGCACTCATTAACCATCTCCACCTTCCCCCACAGCACTCCCCCAACCACTACTCTTCCCAGACTCTGGTAATCATCCTCCTATTCTCTATATATTTCTGAAACCATAAGTTCATACTGATACTTTCAATTTCAATCAAACACGTTTTATTTCAGCCATTTTTTTTTCTTTATTTGCAAGTTCTTTATCAACATGAGAAACTTGGTTCTCATTATAAATAATATATTTAATTATTTGTTCAACATTTAAATATACATAAAATAGTTAAAATTGCTAGCCCATACCCTTGAGAGAAATAACTTTACTAACTACAGGGCAGTGTTTATGTACAGTTTGCCTTTAGCCTTACAGTATCCAATTGAAATACCCTTCCCCCAATTTCCTTGTTGATCTGTTTTTATTTGATTTATTTCATTTTTTTGTGAGACATAATTCTATGGTTTTTGACAAGTACAGAATCATGCGTCTTCCACTGTAGTCATGATAGAGAGCATTTTAGACCCTGTATCCTTCAGTTTTTGAAATGTTTGGGAATTTTCTTTGACCAAATTTATAATAATTCTAGAAAAGGGCTTTAGGTTTTGTTGTGGAAGGATAAAGATTATTACTGAATGCAATTTCCATAGTCCTGTACATTCAACCTCTTTTTTTGATCAATGGGTTCTAGGCCTAAGCACTGGCTCAGGATCAGAAACTAGTCAAGGGATAACGCTTTTTTAATTTGTGTAGTTGCACTTTGCCTCTTAATCAACCGTTTTTTAATAATTTCTTTCCATTATATTGTTCAAGATATAGCCTTGTTAGCTGCCCATCTATCTTGCCCTTAAGAATATTATTTTCTATTAACCAACTCCACTGATCTCCTCAAGTAACTCCTCCTGACTGCCACTTTGACCTTGCCATTTATCTGACAGTTAAACACTACGACCTTGTCACTGTTATTTTAAGATCCTATCACTGCATTGCTATCAATTAGCCCAATTCCCTAAAAACATTTCCTACCATTGGTTTTGGTCTATAAAACACAACCATCTTTGACTTTCACAACAATGCCAATGCTCTCTCACTATTACATCCCTTACTGCTAAGCTCCTAGGGCGCACAGACTTCTTATGGACACCACTAGCTTACCTAGTATGTCAGCTCTATCATGCCCACCTCACTGAGCCGTTTGGTCCCTTCTTCCATTGTCTAACATGGAAATCCTGGCATTTTTATGTCATTTAGCATGAGGCAGTCTTTTATCCAAGTTTCCAAGAACCATCCTAAAGGTATACTATCACTGGCCCTCAGAGTCCTTGCCTGGATGTTAAAGTATGTATCATGGGATACTAAACCTCCTCTTATGCAACTTTATGACCCCCTCAATTGCAGCATCATCAAGATCCTTCCATACAAAATCTGGTTTTCCTCGGGTACATTTTGGCTAGGTCCTGCACCCCTCTTTGGGTATGTTCTTTTTTCTCCTTTCATGCCCAGCACTTCCCTTGCCAAATTGTATTATGACTTGACCTGACTCATTGGTCTGGTGGTCAAAATGGAATTGGAGGTACATTCCAAGATGTATTCTTTTCATGGTCCTGCAGGCAAAGTTCTCTATATTTTTGTCAAGGAAGACTGGAATACTTTCCTTAACAGGTCACAGTGGCCCACTTCTGTAAGCCCAGAGCATAGTAAGGCATTTGGAGATTCGAGACATTTGGATACATCCACCAAGATATTTCCATTTCATATTTTCAGAAGATCCTAGTCTTTCCAAATCAAGAGTCTGATTTTGGCAAAATCTATTTTCTAAGATGAAGAATTCAACCTGTTCTAAAATTCTGCCATTCATTAAGTCCTAGGCCAGACCTGAATTATTTTCTGCTTTTTGATTGCATGAGATAAGAGTTTCTCCATATGACATTAACAGTGCCTGCTGACTTTACAGTTAGCTGTTATTCATCTAATTCCATTGTCCTATAACTTACTACCTCCTCTAAAATTTCTCGTATACCAGAGACATTACCCTTGCCAGCATATTTTCTTTCACCAATACCTTATTCATTTTACCACGACTGAAAAATTTTAAAATTGCACAACCATAGTATGCCAATAGGGCATACTCCATTTAGTCTAACACCAAAATCCTTTGTCAGATCTTCATTCTTCTTGACACTACCTGCCTTAGGCTAGATCCCCCAGGAGACAAATTGTAAAAAGATTTGCATGTAGAAAGATTATTAGAAAGTGATGGAAGTATGATCAGACAGAGGTCTGGAGGAATTTAATTTCAATGCATCGACAACAAAGCTATCAGCTGATTCCATGGGGAGCTTTGGGTTGGGATAAACTTTCATTAAAGTCGTCGTGACTTGAGGTTAAGAAACTAGGCATTTTCACCCCCATATTGAACAATCAGTGGATGAGAAACGTCCCAAAGGAAAGAGCATGACTATGGAAGAGGGGGACTTTTTTTTTTTTTTTTTTTTTTGGTCTGAGGACAAATTCTCAGAGAAAATTTCAGCTATCAGCTGACAACACTCCAGGTAGTTGGGAGAATGTGTGTTTCAGCCTGGAAAAAGGATCTGCACATACATCACAACAATGTGAGATTCTAGACTAGACTCTCCGGTGAGATTCTTCATTCATACTTTCTCTGACCAATACTGAGTGTTTTATGGATACATTCAAAATCAGAATCCACTTGCAATTCAAATATTTATTATCTTGGACAAATCACTTAACGTTCTAGGCATCCGCATATCTACTTGCCGTGTAGAAAGTGTAAAATCTTCTCTAACTTACTCCTTCACGTCTTGATGAGAGGAAAATGAAATGAATGAAGCAATTAAAAATTATTGTATAAGACCACCTAAAAAAGGATTCACTTAAGCTCCTACTTTTGCCTAAGCCTGAATTCATGCCTGTTTCTCATGTCCTCATACTATATAGTGTCGCGAACCACTATCTGGGTGAAATTTGACATATGAAGTTTTTTTTGAACAGGAAGAATGTAAATATCAGATAAGAACTTATGTAATTTTTTATGTTGATGAATTTCAGCACATATTTTACTTCTAATACACCAGGGGCAGAGCAAGTGGAAGATGTATATAAGTAGATGGGCATAGCCAGTGAAAAGATTTATGCTGGCAAGCAAGCAATAGATGACAGCTTCTATTTCACCCTCAAGGGACACCTAACACCACCCTTCTAGGAAATTACCAGCCAAGGCACTATGAAACATTGAACAAGTACATAAAAAAAGAACTTTTTTTCCCCCTTTGTCTTAGAAGTGGAACAAAACAAAATAAATGACCTGCTTCTATCCACTCCAGGACATAAAAAATAAAGGAAGAAAGAAAGGAAAGAAAATGGTTCCATCTCCTGCCAAGTTATGCAACTGTTTGACAGAAATGACTCAGAGCTCAGAACCACCCACACTGCTTGGGTAGAATGCCAGCAAGCAGATGGAACCGCTTGTAAAATATCTTCAGATGGCCCCAACCATTTACTGCATCTGTTTTTACGATGTGAATAAATGAAAAAATAATTGTCTTTGGCTTCTTAGATTTTTATGGGTTTCAGAAATCAGGTTATGTCATTTTAAAATCTGCCTGCACAAGGAACTTTACTTAATTAAATCATCCCAGTAATGGCTGAATTTAAGCTTTCAGTGTTGACTGGATTGTATTGATGCTATTTACAATAATTTCTCTGTGTAATTTGCTTTCAAATTCAGCCATTCCTTTCAATGAAGCAAGTTTTTCCTTACATCTCTGCTAGCCATCTTTTGACAATTAGGGGGACTAGCCTGAGGAACATATTCGTTGCTAGAGCACAGCAGGGCAGAAGATGGAGACGGATCCTTCATGTCAACATCAAACCTCTAACTAGGTTATCAAACCTCTAACTAGCTTACTTATGTTAGGACTTCTTGTTGTAAGATATGATCGTATTTTTTCTTATACGGTTAATTCATTTTGCATTGGATCCACTGTTACATCTGAACAAATATACAAAGATAAAGGAATGAACTCAGAAGGAGTTATTTGTAATTTAGGTGGAAATGACACTGAACAAAATACACCAAAAAACTTGGGCTGCAGACTGTGCTCTACTCTTTATTAACCATGTGGCTTTGCATCAGTTACAATTTTTCCCACTGATTAAATGGAAATAACTGCCTTATCTTTCCTGTAGAAATTTTGGGAGAAAAAATATGGTAAATGCTGTGGTCTGAATGGCTGTGTCTCCCCAAAATTTATATGTTCAAAACCTAATCCCCAGTGTAATGGCCTTAGAAGGTGAAGCCTTAGGCAGGTGATTTGATCATAAGGGTGGGTCATGAATGGCATTACTGTCCTTATAAAAGACGTCTTAGAAAATTGCCTTGTGATTTGCACCACATGAGGACACAGCTAGAAGACACCATCTATGAGGCAGGAAACACCCCTCACCACATACCGAATCTGCTAGTCTCTTGATCTTGGAGTTTCTCACTTCCAGAACTATAAGAAATAAATATCCATCATGAATAAGCTAATCAATTTTATGGTATTTTATTATAGCAGCCCAAATAGACTAAGGCAGTGAATGTATGTGGAAAAAAAAAACCTTTGCAAGTTACTAAAGGTGCTATGTAATACGCTTTTGAAAATGCAATATTCCACCAGTTTATGCTAAAATTTTAACTTAGAGAGCTGTGGCAACAGAATGACTTCCATATGTGAAATATGTGTTTAATGACATGATGACTTTATATAAATGAACTAAAGCTTTTATGTCATACCAACAGCCATAGGCCCTTCATATATACTCATATGATCAGGGGTGGTAATTTTGATTGGAAAAATTAAATACAACATGCAAGAAAACAAAGATTTCCAGAACAATGCAGCCATTACAAAATCACCTTCAGGATATTAGGGAATTAAAAATCCTTCATTTATAAAATCATGTTTTCCTGGTAACTTTGATGGTTTGCAGTTCGACTTTTCATTAAGAAAAATGACAGCAAATGCTTAGCTCTTCCAATAGGCTTGTGTAAATTGAATGAATTTGTCTCAAGGGACTGTATGTCAAATTTTTAAAGATAAATTACCAAGGTTATCTTAAAAATTCCCATTTGTCAGAAATGATAAAAATGTAGCATTGAGTAATCAATATCAGGATTCCACTAACTCCATTCAAATTATTAACCACTTGATTCAAAAGCTGACTCACACGTGGGTAAATAATAAAAATAAAGCTGGCATAGAACATGCTTTCAGCACATATATGTGTGTGTATATATATATATATATATTTTATAAATTGACTTTTAGAATGTCAGTGATGGAAAATTCTGAGTGAAGTTTAATCACTCACCACCACACCATATTTGAACTTAGCACAGCCAAGGCTTAGAAAAGATAAAAAACACCATTTATTGATACTTATTATGTAGAAAGGACTTGACACTCATGATTGTCAATTTAATCCTTGCAACAGCCTGTGATATTGGAGCCATTATCCTAGTCTTACAGATGAAGACAATCAGGTTAAATAACTAATTCAAGGTCACACAGCCAGTAGACGAGAAAGAAGAGACTCAAGCCCACATTTATATGACTGGAAAGCTCATGCTTATATCCATTACTCTATGCAGCCTTGGAAGTCAGGAGACCTGAATTTTCAAGTGAAAATGTGAAGGTATTTGAATCAGAGAGGTATGGGCTGAGATGCGGTCTGTGTCACTTGATGCTACACTGTATATTTCATCATGTTTGTGGAATTGAAATAGGATGCTAGAGATAATTTTGAATTCGATTATCTAATATTTCAGATACAAAAGCTACAACTTTGCCAGAGGGACCCAAATGTTTCATTCAGACTTATTTTAGTGAGGAACTATGTGGCACACATCGGCAAAGCTGATGGTAAAACCAGATTACCCACAGGAAATATTTTATCCATATGCTTATTCTAATGGGCTACATTTTATATTGGATGTCATGCTTAGTAACTTTTTTTGTTACATTTACATCACAATTTTAAACCCAGTCATTGAAGGTACTGGAAAGAATAATATGGCAAGATCTAACCTAGCTGCTCTTTTTCACTTCACTTAGGTGCTGTCCTCAGTGGAAACTTAGTGTTCTAGAAAATTGAGACTGAAAGAACAACAACAACAAAAAGAACATAGATTCAAATATTTCTCTCTTAAATTGCCTTATTCAATAATAACAGCAACTACAATATTATCAATAACAATAGACACATTTATTGGGTCCTTATGATGTGTCAGGCACTGTGATTGAAGCATTTTACTACATTGACCCACTGCAATACCCTGAGGTAGGATCCACTGTTACCCCATTTTACGGATTAAGGAATAAATGGTTACAGAGGTCGTGCACCTTGCTCTCAAACTAATGAGCTAATGGAGCCAGAGTTCAGATTCAAACCTAAGCCCTTTCTGTCTCAGTGCCTGAACTCAACCACTGCATCATTTTTTGAGAATTATAAATATCATACTAAATATTACTCTGACTCTGTTCCTGTTAAAATTCCTCTTTCCTCTCATTATCTTATTGGGTCCTCATAACAACCTTGCCACCTAGGTATGATCATCTCTGTACAGGAGATGAGGATGCTGAGGGTTAGAAGACAGAATGTCACCACGTGAACCATCTACCAACACCTGATCTCCAATGGGAAAATATCGGGAAATGAAAACCTCTCCCTTTCAAACAAATCTCCATTTCTTTTCTCCACTTTTCTCCTGAAAAAGAAAATGCACACACTCCACACGCACAAAGAACATTATTTGGGTTACATTTTTATAAAGCTATACATTGTAATTATGGAAATGAGATTGTCATCAACTTTAATCATGCTAAAAATGCTCATCTTTTTTTTAATAAGAAAAAGAGGAATAAATACTCATTAACACTGAAGGCCTCAAGAACTTAAATTAAATTTTACTTTGAGATAGAAAATTGGTATGAAAAGAAGCCTGCATTAGTTATCCCCATCCACTCTTCCCACCCTCTTCCATTAAAAAATAATTTATACAAGTAATCATCTTTGAAGCCAAAAGCGATTTTAGAGGAAACTTCAATCATCTACCGTTTAGAGTTTAAAAAGCATCAAGCCATACCAAATGCATAGCTAAGTGTTAACACTCTTCTCTGCCTAGAGAACCTCCCCTTTTTGGTCTCCTAAGTCTCTCGAAGATTGAGGGGGTAGGATAGTGGCAAGAAAAGTTGGTCGTGCCTTGTATATTACATGTGTTTTTGTGCATATATACAGATACATGCATACATAAACATACATCTTGCATGATTCTTGTGTGTTGTGAGAATTAAAGTATGCATCATAAGAGCCCGGATATAGTGAAAACCCCAAATATTTCAGCTGTCTTCCAGAAATCCTTCCTTCTAGGTCAACCTGCAACTGCTTTTAGGTTGTAGCTATATTTGCTCTGTTTTAAATAATGAATTATCTCTTTAGAACTTCACAATTCTCCTGGCCAGGCATTGGCAGAACTACTAATTTACAAAAGTGCAATATGGTTTACTTTTCTTTTAGCAGCAGCATCTACTTCTTTCATCCAATTAATTTCAAGTGTGCCAGTTTGACTTACTACTCTTCTGTCCAGGAAATTGCAGAGACATTTCTGACTACTGTGAACAATTATAGCAGAAAATAAACTAATATTCATGATAACATTTAGCATGTAGCTTTTTGTATGGACCAGGTACAACTCAAAGGGCTTTACATCATTTTTTTCTTTTCATCCTCATAGTAAGCCCAAACAGTACATATTATCATTATTAACTTTCTGATATGGCATTGGGTTAGGGGAAGAATAAGTGACTTCCTCAAAGCAATGCTGTCACTGAGTATCAGTGTCACCATCAGTTCTGCATTCTCATCAAGCACTTTCTGACTTTACAAACTTCTCTTAGTCCTCAGATTAGGTCACTTCCTTATGTTTTGGATCCTTCCATTCTTCTTCCAGATCCACTCCCCACCCTTTCACACCCTGCTGCATTCCAAAGGGAGCTGACAAGAGTGTGTGATAGGCAAAGACACTCTGGCCCTGTGCTTCCTAATGAATCCAGTCCACGATGAGCACCAGAAGAAGGGCAGAGAGGAAGACACAAGGGAAGGCATGGATTTTATGGTCTGGGCTTTCCCATGTGCGGGAGGGTAGCTGTGTTCTTTCAGGCGGCCCTTTCACCTGGGCTTCTCTGTCACTGGGTCTTGAAAACCATTCCTTCCCTCACCCTTCCAAACCTGCAGTTGTTTCTGATTTCAGGATTCTGCATGGTCCTCTGTAGTTTCCTCCACCCTGCCCACATCTTTGGAAATGGTCTTCTTATCATTCCCTTTCACATTCCCTTTTATTGATTCCAATTGAGTGTGCCATTTGCTTCCCATGATAACTTGACTAATGGATACATATCCTTGTCTTTCTATAATTCTGAGCACAGTTCTTTCCTTTTAGAGTACTTACCATTGTTGGTTAGTACAGACAAGAGCAGAGAAACGTATTTATTTCCTAGCTGAGTTGTTTACTCTTTAGTCTGTATTAGGGCAGAGGCTATGTCCTCTTTACTCAGTCTTGTATCCTTGGTGCCCAGCAAAATGCCTGGTGCTCAGATGGCACGGGAAAATATTCATTGACTCAATAAATGCCTCAAGGCAAGCAAAGGGTGGTTTATAAGATATCTCTGTAACTTATTGTTTGTCTTTCAGAAAACAAGAGAGACTAGAACACCATCCCAAAGCTACTGAGCAGTTTTTTCACTTCAATGCATGAATGAACAAGCATTTTGGACATTTAGCATAGTAAGTAGGAAACTAGCAGGCATTCCAGGCCAGAAACCTAATCTCTAAAACCATATAGATTCTTTTCCTCTAAAAGGAATTGAGTATTGTGAAAGTGATGACTGGCTGAGAAATGACCAGGTTTGAGGCCTGAGATTTCATGTCCACATCAGGTTTTGATGTAGCCTTTTACAGTGTCCCTTAAAAAATGTCTATGAAGACATGGAAAAACAATAAAAATCACATCACAACAATAAACTAAGTTTGACAAATATATAACTACATTCCAGAATGAATGTTTAAAAGGCACCTATTGATAGACTATGGAGAAGGGGTACTATGGCTTATGCAACAAAGACTGCTCAGATATTAAAACGTAGAAAGATACAGTACTTTCTACCTCAACTCTCCATCCCCTCACTCAAGTCTTGGGTCTGTACCAAACAGGTAACTTGACAATTCTCTTCCTACCATTTAAAAAAAAAAAAATCTAAAATGTATAAACATCAACTTGTAGCTTCGTTAAAATAATAATGATCTAGTAAAATAGTCATAGGGATATAGTTTCTTAAAAAAGAAATAATCTCTTTCAAAACAACAACCAATATTACCTTTATAGTGTAATAGTAAAGGTAGTCTAATTAAAATCAGAAGCATGACTAAAATTTAATGGTACTATTATTAAACATTGTTCTGGAGGTTGCATTCAATATACTTAGCAGAAACAAAAGCAAACCAAAATAAAAAGAACAAAATTTGAAAAAGAGGAGACAAAACCATTACTCCTTACAGATAGTAGATACATATATAGCATGGGCAAACTTTAGTGCAGCAACAGAGAGTCTATTTAAATAGGCGAGTTCTTAAAAGCGTCCAGTATACAAGTACTCCAGTGTATAGAGTCAATAAAAACTTTCAGGACTGGCCGGGCACGGTGGCTCACGCCTGTAATCCCAGCACTTTGGGAGGCCGAGGCAGGCGGATCACGAGGTCAGGAGATCGAGACCATCCTGGCAAACACAGTGAAACCCCATCTCTACTAAAAATACAAAAAATTAGCCAGGCATGGTGGTGGGCGCCTGTAGTCCCAGCTACTGGGGAGGCTGAGGCAGGAGAATGACATGAACCCGGGAGGCGGAGCTTGCAGTGAGCCAGGATCTTGCCACTGCACTCCGGCCTGAGCAACAGAGCAAGACTCTGTCTCTAAAAGAAAAAAAAAAAAAAAACTTTCAGGACTTTGCCAGAAGAAAAAGAAAAGAAACGAAAGAAAAGAATGGGATCCTTATTGAAGTACATTTAAAGAAGAATGTTGGAAATTAAAATCCAATATTAAAACAGTGCTAATTCTACCTTATTTTAAGTAACCCTTACATGTTTTTTCAATTAAAATAGTGGTTAACAGTTAACTTTGTAATTTTTTTTGTTATGGTTATTAAACTCCTGAAACACCTGTGCTTGACCATACTCAGCCATTAAAGACTCAGTCTTGAAGCTACAGAAGTCTCAGATGGTTGAAGTCGCAGGAAGCAAGGTGCACTGATTTACTGGCATTCTGTTACTGTGAATCATCTATGGGTAGATGTTTCCTTGGTGTCACATTTTTGGATTTCATCATGAATTCCTCATGAGGTCCCATCTGTTGGCAAGGCATTATGGGAAGAGCAGGCATTTTGTTCTCCAAACAGCTGTGTCTGGAGCGGAAGCTCTCTGCGCTTCTCAATAGGAGAGTGCATCCCCGAGTGCGCAGATGACAATAGATGAAGTTGGAGTAAACGCGGGGCAGCCTGACATGAGGAACAACACAAGCCTAAGTAGACATGTATGTCTCCACCATGTCCTCAGTACTTTTAAAGCCTGGAAAACTTTCTTTCTTTCCAGCAAAGGAGATAGGAAAAACAGAGTGTTGTTTTGTTTTCTTTGCTTCCTTCTCTCTCCTCCCCTCCTCTTCTTCTGTGAAATGATGGTGTCCCAGAAACTTGTAGACTCCAAGACTTCCGTGGGACTTTAAGGGTTGACCCTGTCTTCTGCCTCTTATATATATCAGTAAGTCAATAAATAACTGCTTTGTATCCTACACACCTCAAATCAATGCATGTGTTACGCAGAGGTGCTTAGTCATGGTCCTAGAATCAAACTAATCTGGGCTGAATGCCAACACTGCCACATTTTGGCTGTGTGAACATAAGCACGATCCATAGGAAGCATTCTTTTTTACCTGCCACATTTCTCCTATTTGTAAAATGAAGATAACAGTATTGCTTACTTCAAGAGGCTGCTGTCAGAATTAAACACAATAATGTATGAAAAGTGCTTAGCATTTTACAATAAATATTTCTTTATCTACTTTAGTAATTAAGTTGTTAAAAATAAATAACTCAGTAATCTATTCTTTAAAAGAAATATTTCTTCTGGCTGATATTAGTCGGAATATCTTTGGTTGTAAATATAAAAAAAAAACCCATGGAAGACAATTAAAAATTACAGAGAATTCAGTGGATTATGTAATTTAAATATCCAGAGTGAGTTTAGGTATAATTTGGTCAAGGTTATGATTTATTTATCCTTACTTTTTTTTTAATTGTAATTTTCTTGGCTCAGTTTACTTCAGTGTTTTCAACTGAGTGTTCAAAGAACCTTCATTTCAAGAAAAGTGGCTGTAGAAATCCTATATTTCTTGTTTGTGTCCCATGGTGTCCAAAATGAGATCAATATGTTTAAGATTCTAAGGCAAAATGTTGACTGACTTTGTAATTGGACCACAACTCAAATCAGCTAATATATCTAGAGGAAGCCATGGTAGCAGTTGGCTTAGGCTTGGATGAACTGATCCAAAAACTGTGGCAAGTAAGATATGATTAACCCACCTATTTCAATCAGAGCCCTTGTCTCTAGAACTGGAGGTGGGTTTATGGGAACTTTGAATTATCTATTTAGGACAGTTAGGAAGCAATTAAGGACTTTGGAAATACAGATATATGAATGAAGCATTGTGAGGACAATATTCTACCAGTAGACTGCATATGTCTGTATTAATAGAATAGCATTTTCTAAGACTTCCTCCCTGAGTTCTCACATTTGCAGACACGGTACTCACTTTTAGCTTGATACCTGGAATCTCAATCATGCTAAAGTCTGTAGCCAAGCTCAACCATTAATGAGCTGCAAGATTTTCAGCAAGTCATATCTGCTCCCTGGACATCAGTGTGGTCACTTGTAATAAAGGAGGCTGGATTAAATGAACTCGAAATTCCCAGTAGTTCCATGGGTCTCTATGAACACAATACATTACCTTTATAAATGGGGAAGATGGCCATTAAGCAATTTCTCAACTTCTGTTCTGAAAATTACACAAAATGACCCAAGATCCTTTTATCTTTCTTCACTAGGACTATTTCCTATCCCTTTTATCTCTTTGTTGATATTCTAGAGGTCTGCTTCAATATTTTCTCCACATCCCATTCTTTTTGTGAAATTTCTAACTGAAAAAAAAATCTATTAGAGATATCAATAACATCTAAGTAAGGAGGTCTCTATTTCAAGAAATCATTGTAAATTTTGCCTGTGTGTTTAGCAATACTTTGTTCTTGCAAATTTTCATCTTAGACAATTTTGACAGTTGTTTAAAATATATTGCTCTTTTTGAGTTTACAGTTATTTTTATTTGTTGTAAAATTTAAATACAATGAAATTTACAGTTATTACACATTTACTGAATTTTGACATGCATCCACCTGTGTAGCCCAACCTCTTATCAAAAAATAGAACCTTAACATTGTCTAAGAGTGTTTCTCATGTTCCTTCCAAGTCAATCATCACTCCCATGGCTACAGAAGAAACCATTATTTTGATTTTTCCCCCACAGATTAAATTTGCCTGTTCTGGAACTTAATATTAAAAAACATGCAATATGTGATTCTTTATTGTCAAAATTCAGTTGACTAGATTTGTACGTGTTAATCTCTACAGATCTTTATTCTATTCTACGGGTCTATATATACTTATTATTTGGCCAATCCTATACTGCTTAATTTCTGTAACTTTATAGTAAGCCTTGAAATCAGTTATTTGACCTTTCCTGCTTCAATATTCTTTTCAAGTTTGTTTTGGCCCTTTGAGTTTCTTTGCCTTCCTGTATGAATTTTATGATGAGCTTATTGATACCTATGAAGAAAATTCTGGTAGGATCTGCAGATAAATTTTCAGAGAATTGGCATCTTCATAGTATTTAGACTACTGATCCAAATGTAACTTTTCATTATTAAAATAAAAAACGTCTTGCGGTTTAATTCCTAGCTATCTAGAAAAAAGAAAAAGCCGGGATTTAAAATAGTGGCACTAGTCTTTGGAAGAGAGGAAAAAAATCCAAAAGTCTTGAGGAATCTCTGACTATGGATAAGAAATTAAAAAATTATAATTTCAATAAACTAAACAGTCATTTTTGAGATCCAACTGTTGGTGGATTGATTGACACCAAAATAAAGTAAAGATGCTAAAGCAGATCACCGAAACACGTTCTGTGTCAATCTTCAAATTGATCAAGCATGGTGAAGGGAAAATGTGGTGATAAAAGGCAGCTGAGAGCCATGCAGTAATAAGTTGACAGGGGCTTGGTCTAGTTAACTCTTTTTATATTCTGAACTTACAAATAGAAAATACTTAAATGGGATCAACTCTTTCAACAGTTGCAATACATTTTTGGTTTTGGTGGGTTTTTTGTTTGTTTGTTTGTTTGTTTGTTTGTTTGTTTTGAGAAGGAGTCTCCCTCTGTTGCCCAGGCTGTAGTCTGGAGTGCAGTGCTGCCATCTCAGCTCACTGCAGCCTCTGCCTCCTGGGTTCAAGCGACTCTCGTGCCTCAGCCTCCTGAGTAGCTGGAATTACAGGCGCACGCCACCACACTCAGCTAATTTTTTGTATTTTTAGTAGAGATGGGGTTTCGCCATGTTACCCAGGCTGGTCTCGAACTCCTGATCTCAAGTGATCTGACCCCCCCGTCGGCCTCCCAAAACGCTGGGATTACAGGCATGAGCCACCGTGCCTGGCCAGTTGCAATACTTTCACAAGAAATCACAAAACTAAGGGGTTAACTACAATAAACACATTTTTGATTCACACTGAATCTCTTGTTCCAGAGTTGCGAAGTTATTGTGTTACCAATAAGTGATGCAGATGTTCAGGGAGACAAATACTCATCATCCATATATCATATGAATATTTCAATATTCATATATTGAAATATATGTTCCATCAACATATATTTCAAAATATGTTCATGGAAGGATAAAAATTTGAATTCAGTACTAAGTAATAGTTACCTTTAGATTTTGGGGAAAATTGAGAAAAGTTAAAATCATGCTAAAAATGCTTTGCTGCTTTTCTTTATGCCTTACTCCCTGTCCCCACCATATCTTACTTCTTTCATTCTGACAGCAAGCATCAGGTGTCCTCAGTGGGCCAGTCTCTTGCTATGCTTTGAGACCACAATCATATCTTTACTTCTCTCTCTGGCTCCTTATTCCTGTCAATGAGTTCCAGCTAAATATCATTGCTTCATTAAAGTTATTCTAACCTAAAGAAAATCCTTTTCTGTTATTCTTTATACAAGTCACTTATCCCTTATCTATCTCCATCATTACACTTACTTGTTAATTTTTCTGTTCTTTTTTCTTCCAGTACAATAAACACCATAGTATCCCTACTACTTCACTGGATGAATGAATTAATAAACAGTTGTCTTCCCTGACTACTTTGTAAATTTTTAGAGAGAAGAAACTTTCTCTAATTCATCATTTGACCTGAATACTCTGATCTCAAGAGAAATAGCTGTAAAAATATTTAACATACGAAGTGTTACAAAGGTAATTATAGAATTTTGCATAAGGTAGGTGGAGTTATCTCAGTAGGAGTTCTTCAATACCCCAGAGAACACAGAAAGATTTCAAAGAGGCAATAAGCTACACGCTGGGTCTTCAAAAAATGCGAGGCATATACTTGGCAGATGAAGGGGCTCAGCTCAGACAATCTTACCAGTTTTGCTGTAAAACTTAAATCCAGTCATTTATTCTCTCATTTAATAAGCATTTATCAAGATACTATGTCAGCTCTATCCTAAGCACTTGTGATACATGGTAATGAACACCAGACATAATGTGTGCTGTCATTTACCTTAAAAATCTCAACTCCATGAAGGGGGTGAACATTAATTAAATAAACATAAAAGATACAGTGCTTGAGTGCATTAATCATTTTTCCTATATTATTTTATTTAGTTCTCACAAATGCCTTATGAGATAGTTACTATGATTAGCACCCACTTTATAATAATAAAATTGAAGAAAAAGAAGGAATTGAAGATGACAAACCCCCACACCAGGTAAGCCAAAGTAGGATTTATACTCAGACTAATTCCAGGGCCTGAGCATTGGAATCATGTTGAATATAAAGTCAGTGGTACATACCCCCAAATATGTTATGTAATATGAATTATTAAGAAATAAATACTTTAAAAAATTAAGTCAAATAGCAAAGTACAAACTGATGTGAGGTTAGATTTGAGGGTTAGACAGGACGAAGCTTGCAGTGGCCTTGTAGGTCTCGTAAATATATATATTTTTTCTTTTCAGAGCAATGGGAATCCACAGATGGGTTAATGCCAATGAGGAAGAGGGTAGGCAGGGTGATGTGAAAATATTGGAGATGGTCCAGAGGTCTTTGATAAAACCAATAAAGAGGTCCCGGCTACACAAAAGGCTGAGGCAGGAGAATCGCTTGAACCCAGGAGGCAGAGGTTGCAGTGAGCTGAGATCGCGCCACTGCACTCCAGCCTGGGTGGCAGAGCAAGACTCCTCCGTCTGGGGAAAGAAAAAAAAAGTCATTGCATTCTTCTGGATAAAATTAATGGTAGTTTGGAATAAGATGACAGCTATAATTAAAGCAAAGATGAGTGGATGAATTTGAGAGCTCTTTAGGAAGGTGTCTAATAAAAAATATATTGATGGAATAAAGTATAAGGAGACTCTAGCACAGTAGTATTGACTGAGAGATACAACACTACGTGGCCATGAGGAAGGGAATTATTAGGAATAACTCTAGAGAGTAAGATAGGCTAGAATACAGCTTGTTGTAGCTTGGAATGGAGGTAGTGTGCTAAGGTGGATAGAGCTTTCAGTTTCAATATCATGCTTGCAGTTAACTTTCTGAGTAACATTGGGCGAGTTATTTTTCCTTACGGGAACTCCATTTCTCATGCAGAAACTGATCAATAACCCAGGAAGATTTGAGATGAAGTAACATTGTGTGTGTGACAGAGTTGCAGAGTTTCTGGCTCGTGGGAGGAAGGAAAGGCTACTATTAAAGTTATGAATTTGGCATAGTAAAGAACCTTCTTCCCTATAATCCGTCTCAAGTACCAAAAGTACCCAAATATCTGAAGTCATGATGCAGCTTGATTTTCAAGGGTAAAATAGATAATTTATTCACCAATTACTAATTGGTCCACAAAAAATATATAGAACTCGTTGTATATGCCCTGCTAGACCATGCTCTTGGAGCCTACATTCTGATCTCTGAAGCCATGTAGAAAACATAGTAAGGGAAGCCTTCTTACCAGGGTTTACAAAATTTAAATAGGCAATTGGGGATTTTGACACAAAATATTTTTTCCTTTCATTTTAAATTATAAAACGTAATTTCAGACCAAGAATTGGGAGGCCGGGCGTAGTGGCTCATGCCTCTAATCCCAGCACTTTGGGAGGCCAAGATGGGTGGATCATTTGAGGTCAGAAGTTAGAGACCAGCCTGGCCAACATGGTGAAACCCAGTCTAAAAAACCAAACACCGCATGTTCTCACTCATAGGTGGGAATTGAACAATGAGAACACATGGACACAGGAAGGGGAACATCACACTCTGGGGACTGTTGTGAGGTGGGGGGAGGGGGGAGGGATAGCATTAGGAGATATACCTAATGCTAGATGACGAGTTAATGGGTGCAGCACACCAGCATGGCACATATATACATATGTAACTAACCTGCACATTGTGCACATGTACCCTAAAACTTAAAGTATAATAATAATAAAATATAATACAAAAATTAGATGGGCGTGGTAGCATCCCAGCTACTCAAGGGGCTGAGGCAAGAGAATCGCTGGAACCCGGGAGGTGGAGGTTGTAGTGAGCTGAGGTCCGAGATCATGCCACTGCACTCCAGCCTGGGCAACAAAGTGAGATTCCATTTCAAAAAAAAAAAAAAAGATTTGGAAGATCCAAATATAATAAATAAATCTTAAGAATTAATTTAGCTGTCCATTCATGGTAGCATTAAAAAAAATTGAGAAATTTAGAAGCAATATTATCTAGATATTAAGAAATACATATCAGATGTGATTCAGGTTATATCTAATTCTGTGGTTGGTATCTTGCTAATATTCATAATTTATTGCAAAGACAATTTTCCCAAAGTTTTCTTGCTCACCCAAACGAGGTGGGTAATAAATTAGATTGAGTCATGGAAATTTGTATTGAGTTGAATGAATAGGAGAGAGGAAAACTCAATTTTCCAAGGGAAAATGCATAGTAGATACACAATGTGTAGCAGATTTTCTGAGGAAAAGAAAGTAATATAGGATGTGGTGCTGTTCCCATTGTTCCAGATCTCTCAATTTATTTATTTATTTTTATTTTTATTTTTTTTTAATTGAGACAGAGTCTTGCTCTGTTGCCCTGGCTGGAGTGTAGTGGTGCGATCTCAGCTCACTGCAACCTCTGCCTCACGGGTTCAAGTGATTCTCCTCCCTTAGCCTCCTGAGTAGCTGAGATTACAGGCACCCGCCACCATGACCAGCTAAGTTTTGTATTTTTAGTAGAGATGGGGTTTCACCATGTTGGCCAGGCTGGTCTTGAACTCCTGACCTCAAGAGATCCGCCCGCCTCGGCCTCCCAAAGTGCTGGGGTTACAGGCGTGAGCCACCATGCCCAGCCCAGATCTCTCAATTTACAAAGAAACTTTAATCTGCCATGCCAATCCAAGTAGCTAGGATCATTATAATAGATCAATGTAACTTGTCAGCATCCCAGTGTTCCTTGCAGAGAACTTGCCTTGATCTTCCAAACAAATATATGAATTTTAAAAGTTAACATTTAGTAGTTTGTGTTCATGCGCCTTTTTATTTTTAATTCAACCAAAGATTAAAAACTGTTGGAAATAACAAAGTAAATGGGTGAGTCTCAGTATCTCTCTTTAAAACCTTATAATTATAGTTGTGCATGTTTCTCTTTCTGAAATATAACACTAGCAGAACACAGGAAGCCCCTAAAAAACTGGCTAGCCATATGTAGAAAGCTGAAACTGGATCCCTTCCTTACACCTTATACAAAAATTAACTCAAGATGGATTAAAGACTTACATGTTAGACCTAAAACCATAAAAACCCTAGAAGAAAACCTAGGCAATACCATTCAGGACATAGGCATGGGCAAGGACTTCATGTCTAAAACACAAAAAGCAATGGCAACGAAAGCCAAAATTGACAAATGAGATCTAATTAAACTAAAGAGCTTCTGCACAGCAAAAGAAACTACCATCAGAGTGAACAGGCAACCTACAGAATGGGAGAAAATTTTTGCAATCTACTCATCTGACAAAGGGCTAATATCCAGAATCTACAAAGAACTCAAACAAATTTACGAGAGAAAAACAAACAACCCCATCAAAAAGTGGCGAAGGATATGAACAGACACTTCTCAAAAGAAGACATTTATGCAGCCAAAAGACACATGAAAAAATGCTCACCATCACTGGCCATCAGAGAAATGCAAATCAAAACCACAATGAGATACCATCTCACACCAGTTAGAATGGTGATCATTAAAAAGTCAGGAAACAACAGGTGCTGGAGAGGATGTGGAGAAATAGGAAAACTTTTACACTGTTGGTGGAACTGTGAACTAGTTCAACCATAGTGGAAGACAGTGTGGTGTTTCATCAGGTATCTAGAACTAGAAATACCATTTGACCCAGCCATCCCATTACTGGGTATATACCCAAAGGATTATAAATCATGCTGCTATAAAGACACATGCACACATATGTTTATTGCAGCACTATTCACAATAGCAAAGACTTGGAACCAACACAAATGTCCAACAATGATAGACTGGATTAAGAAAATGTGGCACATATACACCACGGAATACTATGCAGCCATAAAAAATGATGAGTTCATGTCCTTTGTAGGGACATGGGTGAAGCTGGAAACCATCATTCTCAGCAAACTATCACAAGGACAAAAAACCAAACACCTCATGTTCTCACTCATAGGTGGGAATTGAATAATGAGAACACTTGGACACAGGAAGGGGAACATCACACACCAGGGCCTGTTGTGGGGTGGGGGAGGGGGAAGGGATAGCATTAGGAGATATACCTAATGTAAATGACGAGTTAATGGGTGCAGCACACCAACATGGCACATGTATACATATGTAACAAACCTGCACGTTGTGCACATGTACCCTAGAACTTATTATATATATATAATTATATATATTATATATTTATTATATTATATATTTATATATTTATATATATTATACATATATATTTATATATTATATATATATATATATATATATATATATATATATAAATTAGCTGGGCATGGTGGTGCGCACCTGTGGTCCCAGCTACTCAGGAGGCTGAGGCGGGAGAATTGCTTGAACTGGGAGGTGGAAGTTGCTGTGAGCTGAGATTGTGCCACTGCACTCCAGCCTGGCAAAAGAGTGAGACTCTGTCTCAAAAAAAAAAATTAAATTTTATTTATTTATCTTATTTATATATATATTTTTGAGACAGAGTCTTGCCCTGTCACCCAGGCTGGAGTGCAGTAGTGCAATTATGGCTCACTGCAGCCTTGAACTCCTGGCTGACTCCCGCCTCAGCCTCCGGAGTACCTGGGACCACAGGCAAGCGCCACCACAGCCACCCAATTTTTAAATTTTTGTAGAGATAGAGTCTCACTACGTCGCCCAGGCTGGTCTCAAACCCCTGGCCTCAACTGATCCTCCCCCCTCAGCCTCCCATATAGCTAGGATTAGAGGCGCATACTCTTTTTTTTTTTTTTAATTTCGACTTTTTTTTTAGACTCAGGGTATGTGTGCAGCTTTGTTAGGTATATTGTGTGATGCTGAGGATTGGGCTATAAATGATCTTTTCACCCAGGTAGTGAGCATAGTACCCAATAGGTAGTTTTTCAAACCTTGCCCCCTCCACCCTTCCTGCCTCTATTAGTCCCCAGTGTGTGTCACTCCCATCTTTATGTCCATGTGTACCCAATGTTTAGCTTCCACTTATACATGAGAACATGCAGTATTTGGTTTTCTATTCCTGCATTAATTCACTTAGCATAATGGCTTCCAGCAGCATCCATGTTACTGCAAATGATATTGATAGATGCAGGAGGCAGGTAAGAGAGGGCCCCGGGAGAATTTCCGACCCGCCCTGCAAGTGTTTTCATCAGATGCTTTTGTGAATGAGGGAACTTGCTTAAGGCTTTCTGTGGACATGCCCACCATGGACTGGGGGCCCACCTGCACACTGGGAGAATGGGGCGGAGCCACTGGGGATTTGTGCCTTATGCAGAAGGGAGGAGCCTGGCCTTTTCAGCTCCTGTGTGTGGTGGCCTGGTATTTAATCTGTGAGGTGGGAGCCTGTTGGCAGGACCCCTTCTTTTTTAACTGGGAGATTTTTTAAAATAAATTCCACTCTCGGCCGGGTGCAGTGGCTCACGCCTGTAATCCCAGCACTTTGGGAGGCTGAGGCTGGCGGATCACCTGAGGTCAGGGGTTCGAGACCAGCCTGGCCAACATGGTGAAACCCCATCTCTACTAAAAAATACAAAAAAATTAGCTGGGCATGGTGGCGGGTATCTGTAATCCCAGCTACTTGGGAGGCTGAGGCAGGAGAATCACTTGAGCCCGGGAGGTGAAGGTTGCAGTGAGCCAAGATCGCACCATTGCACTCCAGCCTGGGCAGCAAGAGTGAAACTCCATCTCCAAAAAAAAAAAAAATAATAAATTTTAAAAACTTAATAAAATAAAATAAATATAAATTCCGCTCTCCTAAAAAAAATGAAGATATTAAAGTACTATAGGTGTTCAGAGAAGAATGTCACATTTTAAAAACCTGTAAAAAAGTTTAATGAGATCTGTGAATTCAGCATTAGATTAGGGAATGTGATGGGCAATGAGAATGTTCCAGACATTAAGAACTGCAGAAGAACTACAAAGAGCATGATGGAGGAATCCTTGACTTGGTCCAATCCTATTTATCTTTGCAGTAGTTTTGGTCAGAAAGTCCTAGAATATAAATCATTGTAGGTCTTTGTGTATGGCCCATTCAAATACAGGAAAAAGCAAATTGTCCTCTCTCTACTCACACATACCACACAGCACAGAATGCTTCTATGACCATGTGTGTGTGTGTGTGTGTGTCTGTGTGTGTGTGTGTGTTTCCAGCACACCAAGCAATTCTCTGGCAGCATACACCAGTGGGGTGTCCTATAATTTAATTCAATTCTGACAGTATCTACCTGAAGATAGCATCAGATTTCACAAGTTGAGGGCTCAGTCCCACAAGACTTCTCCCCACTTCAGATGCCAATCACTACCCTCAGATTATGACCGGTGCTTCTGACCAACTGGCTATAAATCAGAGATCCCACCACCCCTACTGGAATTCAACTAATTTACTAGAGTGCCTCAAAAAACTTTAGTAAACACTTTACTAGATATCACATCTGATATCGCTCTATTTCTCAATATCCAGATGATATTGCTTCTAAATTTCTCAAACTCTTTTAATGCTAACATAAATGGACAGCTAAATTAATTCTTAAGATTCATTTATTATATTATGATTTCCGGATCTTCTAATTCTTGGCCTGAAATTAGGTTGCATAATTTTAAATGAAAAGAAAAAAAATTTATGTCTACGTGTAATACATAATAAAATCTCCAATTGTGTATATATTTAAATTTGGTAAACTCTAGTTAGAAGGCTTCCCTTACTATGTTTACTAGAGTTCGGGGAAATACTTTACTTATGTCTACTCATATATTACCAGTACTTTACTTATATCTACCCGTATATTACCAAATATCTGAAGTCATGACGCAGCTTGATTTTCAAGGATAAAATAGATAATTTATTCACCAATTACTAATTGGTCCAGAAGGCTATTTTAAAGGCTACAAATGAACAGCGAGATCAATACATACATAGGGTGAGGTCTGGATGAATCATGAGTACGAGAGCTTCTGTCCCAGAGGGGATACAACCATATTCCCTGGCCTGGAAGCTCACTACACCCAGTCCTCTGGGTTGCTGGAGGCTTCATTTCACGGACATGATTGATTAAATCATTGGCCACTGGTGATCAACTCGCCTTTCAGTCCTTCTTTTCTCCCTGGAGGTGGAGGTAGGGTTGAAAGTTCCAGTCTTTTAACAACATCATTGGTTTTGTCAGGGATAACAAAAGACACTCCTCTTTCCTTTATCACTCCAGAGCTGTTCTACAATCCAGGACAAAAGGCCAAATATTCTAACAAAGGATACTTCTATTGGTGTAGTCACTTAAGAGTTACAGAGGTTTTAGGACCTCTGAGCCAGGAACTGCGGATCAAATCCAAAATATATGCAGTCAGCCCTCAGTATCTATGGGTTCCATATCTGTGGATTCAACCGATTTTGGACCGAAAGTATTTGAGGAAAAAAAAAGGATGGTTGCATCTGTACTGAACATGTACTACATGTATGGACTTTTTTTGGTCATTAATTCCTAAATAATACAGTATAACAAATATTTACATAGTATTTACATCATGTTAGTTATTATAAGTAATCTAGAGATGATTTAAAATATACAGGAGGATGTGCATAGCTTATATGCAAATACTATAGCATTGTATATGAGACTTGAGCATTCATGGATTTTCGTATCTGCAGGGGGTCCTGGAACTAAGCCCCCAGGGACACCAAGGGATGGCTGTATTTCACAATATCACAGGCTACTAGTGATATAGGCAGGCTTGGGGAGGTAAAGCCTATCAATATGACTTTGAGATTTGTGATCTGAGAGACCAAAATAGATACCCCTATATGGACTAAGATGGATCCTCAGGTTAAGAAAACAAAAGTTGGCTACTTGTGTTCAGGACTCAGCTGGCGTGGCATCTTCCTAAATTCCTATGGCTATAAGAAAACCACACTATTGCTAAAATCCCTAATAGGACCTATCAGGCACATCATCAGACCCATCCTAACTCAGATTTACAACCTAAACCACTACAACTCTTACTGGACAAAGGACCAGCCTTACAAACTTTTTTTTTTCTTTTTCTGAAAAGCAACTACAGACCTTGAGCCAGTTTCAGGCAGCTTAAAGAGCCGACACACAAACTTTGTGTCCTACAGGTCATCTTTTGATGTGAAGAACCACATTCTACCTCATTTTAATGTTAAAACCCTGCCACGCAGTGAATATGGGATATTTGTTACATATATGTTTACCCATTGCACATGTTCTTGACTCCTCTCATAAATATGTATATCTTTTCCCCCAAAAGTGCTGAATATGTATGCATCTATTCTGTGACACAGGTGCTATAATGCCATAAAACCCAAACTGCCCTTTCCCTCTTCAAACAGAGTTCCTTGGGCCATGCTGGAGACTGTCTCTTCCTGGCTTGCAAACTAATATTGCCAATAAAACTCTTCTTTCTATAATTTATCCCTCCTGGTGGTATATTGGACAATACACTTCAAACATGAGTGACTCAAAGTTGTGTGTAGTATGGAGTTTTTTTTTGTTTTTTGAGACAGAGTCTTGCTCTGCCACTCAGGCTGGAGTGCAGTGGTGCGAACTCAGCTCACTGCAACCTCTGTCTCCCGGGTTCAAGTGATTCTCATGCCTTAGCCTCCCAAGTAGCTGGGATTACAGGGGCCCACCACCACACCTGGCTAATTTTTGTATTTTTAGTAGAGACAGGGTTTCACTATGTTGGCCAGGCTGGTCTCGAACTCTTGATCTCAAGTGATCCACCCCCTTGACCTCCCAAAGTGCTGGGGTTACAGGTGTGAGCCACCGGGCCCAGGCCTATAGTGTGGTTTTAAAAAAATGTTCCTAGCACAAGAGAAGGAGTAGATTTAGGAGAAATTATGACATCATTCTGTAGATGTGTGATATTTGAAATTCCAGACAAATGTGCCTTTGGCGATTATAAACACAGCACTGAAGTTTGAACAATGGTAAGAAGCCTGCAGCTGGATATTTACAGCACTCTCCATAGGAATAATTCTGTGTATCCCCATAGACTAAACTCCTTCCACTGCTAAATCCAACACCCATGCAGCTTCATACTCCAGGAATGCTAAACTTTGAATTTCCCAAATATTTTATGCTGTCCACTACCCCCATTCACTTTTCCCACTATTTCTCTTCACTTAGGCTGCCTGATTTATGCTAGACTTTCTAGTAAGTACCTACGAAACTTTTAATCATCAGTTTAAATGCTTGGCTTTCTGTGAAAAATTTCTGACCTTCCCCTGACTGATTTGAGTTTATTTTCCTTCTCAGTTCTTACTTCACTCTATAAACAGTGGGACGGATGCCTTGCTGCATTTGGATTATTTGCTGTTATGTGTATTTTCCCAATAGGCTTAAATATAGTTAAGGAAAGGCAGAGTGCCAGTAGTTTTATCTGTTCATCCTTGGGCCTGAGAAGTGCATGGGATGGAGTTTTTTACTAGGAAACTTACTCAATGGTTTCTTTAGCTAATGTAGGGTCTGAGAAAATGATACCACATAATGAAGTCCTCAGAAGCAACTCTCTCTGACCTTCCCCTGACCTCCTGTCTCTGGCCCCTCATTCTCCCCTGAGGCTAGTCATAAAAAACTAGAACCCCTTTTCTCCCAAGCCAGCCACAAACCCTAAAAATATTACTCCAATTTCCCTCCCTACCTTCCTGTGTAAAACCTGGCCTTACAGAAATTATCTGACCTACCTTGTTTCGTTATAGTCATAAGACCCCTATTCCAGAGAGGGTCATGTTCCATGCTCAGAGAAGAGAAATGAATGTGCAGAGAGGCCAAGACGAATCTAGATAGACAGGTCTTGCTGGATATTGCCACTAAGTCTGTTAGCATTAGGTTACAACCTTTTTTTGACCCTAATAGGTTCATTGCCTGATACCCATGGCAAGTCAATACACCAAGACACCAGCTTTCAGCAGAGAAAGAGGTTTAATAGTAGGGCCCTCGAATGAGGAGACAGGAGGAAACCTCAAATCCATCTCCCTGAGGAACTTGGGGTTAAGTTTTTAAGGATTTTGGAGTGGGCTGAAGTGTGGTGATCAGAGATCACTGATTGTTGAAGAGTGCAGGGTGAAGTCATGGAACAGGGAGAGGAAGAAGTTGTATCCACATGCTGATCCTGTTCCTCTGTGGGAGTCCTCAAACTGGGTTCGGGAATTCGGTGTCTAAAAAACATCTCCAAGGATCCTTAAACAGGAGCCTTATGATTCTAATGTCAGAATCCTGTCTGTGGGAACAATGGGGATGCAAATCAATTCTTAATCATTCTTGTGACTCTAATGTCAGAACTCCTATCTATAGGAACAATGGGGATGGAAAGGGTCGGTATCTGGTATTACCTGACTTTCAGCAACAAGGAAACAGGCCAGAATGCAGCCTGATTCATGCTTAATTATAACTATATTTCTGTCAAGAAACTGACATGCAATTCTTGTCAACCCTGTCAGGGTGGTTTCATTTTTGTCCCGAAATATTTCTACATGGCTGTCCATATGTTGTTGAACCCATGCATAAAAATGAACAGTTTCCCCTGTATCTTTGGGTCTTCATTCTAAAGACTCCCATGTCACATAAAACCATGACCAGGAAAATTTGTATGCCTTTTCTCCTATGGATCTGCCTCTTGTCAATGATTTTCAGTCAACAGATGGCAAAGGGGAAGTATTCTCTTAGTGCCCTCACTACTAAGAATTTTCTGCAAATGATATTGTTACTGGAAAGGGGTTCTGATCCAGATCCCAAGAAAGGGTTCTTGGATCTCATGCAAGAAAGAATTAAGGGTGAGTTCGCAAAGTGACAGCAAGTTTATCATGAAAATAAAGGAATAAAAGAATGGCTACTCCATAGACAGAACAGCCCCAAGGGTTATTTTTATGGTTATTTCTTGATGATATGCTAAACAAGGGGTGGATTATTCATGCCTCCCCTTTGTAGACCATATACGGTAACTTCCAGACATTGCCATGGCATTTATAAATTGTCATGGCATGGTGGGTGTATAGCATTGAGGATGACCAGAGGTCACTCTGTTCACCATCTTGGTTATGGTGGGTTTTGGATGGCTTCTTTACTGAGACCTGCTTTATCAGCAAGGTCTTTATGACTTGTATCTACCTTGTGCCAACCTCCTATATCATCCTGTGACTTAGAATGCCTAACAGTCTGGGAATGCAGCCCAGTAGGTCTCAGCCTTATTTTATCCAGCCCCTCTTCAAGATGGAGTCTCTCTGGTTCAAACGCCTCCGACAGTATTGTAAGCAAGTGAAATGACAAAGCAGATGAACATGAGACAAAAGCAAGATGGGGAAGAGGTTGAGCAAAACCTCGAAAGAGAGAAATTCAAAGCAAACCAGCACCCAGACTATCAGCTACCCAGAATCTAATGGACAGCACCTTCTCTGTACACTTCCATCCATCCCCTCATAGATTCTTCCTTTTCCTTAGCCTATTTCCCCGTGGGGGTTCTTCACATCAATGAGACAGGGATGTCATCATATTTGATGCATTATTTTCACAGCTAAAAATATTAAAAGGGGCCGGGCATGGTGGCTCACACCTGTAATCCCAGCAGTTTGGGAGGCTGAGGCAGGCAAATCACGAGATCAGTAGTTAGAGACCAGCCTGGCCAACATGGCGAAACCCCGTCTCTACTAAAAATACAGAAAGTTAGCTGGGCGTGGTGGTGGGCACCTGTAATCCCAGCTATTCGGAAGGTTGAGGTAGGAGAATCCCTTGAACCCAGGAAGCAGAGGTAGTGAACCAAGATCGCGCCATTGCACTCCAGCCCAGGTGACAGTGCAAGACTCTGTTGCAAAAAAAAAATATATATATATACACACACATATATATATACATACACACACATATATATACACATATATACATATGTGTGTATATATTCAAAAATATATATATATACACACACATATATACACATACACACACATATGTGTGTATATATATATATACACATATATACATAAGGTTGAGCAGATCACGAAAATTAAATAAGATCATCCATGTTAAATAAGTATTTCAGTATATATATACACATATATATACACATATATAAACATGGATGATCTTATTTAATTCTCATGATCTGCTCAACCTTATGTATATATGTGTATATATGTATATATGTGTATACATACACATATGTGTGTGTGTATATATATATATATGTGTGTGTGTATACTGATATATTTTTTTTTGCAACGGAGTCTTGCACTGTCACCTGGGCTGGAGTGCAGCCATACATATGTGTGTGTGTATATATATATGTGTCTGTATATATATATATAAAATGGTAAGTTTTTAAAATATGACTAACTCTTTGCAATTGTTTTATCTTTTCTTATTTTGTCATATAACCTCAGGACCTAGCAAAATACCGGACACATAAGAAAGACCCTCATTTTACTCTGTCAGGCTACTTGACATACTTACCACAAGGTAAAATAATTTGTGTATTATTTCCATTTGAAATTTAAATCTCAGTATTCATTAAGTAGTATTTATTAAAATATGTTGTAGATAGGGTTTAAAATGTAGAATCTCTCAAAGTTTGGTAAAGTTAGCAGAAATGATTCATTTAACTCATATTAACTTAATATTGGGTAATAAAAAGGATCAAATATATAATTAGTTTGGTTTTTTTAAGTCAAAAAGTATTTTTAATATTATAGCATTAAATTATAGTTACCATTATTAGTCATATTTATTCATGAGAAGTAATTTGATATCTTACAAAATAACCTAACATGTGGTATAACCTCTTGCAGTCTAATTTTTCATGGATGAGCTCTTGCATACTTTATATCCTCGGAGGTTATATTTTAACATAGTCTAATTACCACTTTCCTTTTATTTCTATTCAGTTTGACACAGCCACTTTGCCTAAAATAATTTAATATTCTTATGAATGAGATCGTGTTAAAACTAGCCTATAACATCAATCGCCTTTGTTTATGCCAACAACTCTATTGAATTAACATACTAGAATGTGAGAACAAATGGCCCTTAGAGGGAAGTGAAAAAATATTCTTCACAATTTTTAAATGATTGCCAAAGAATTTTAAGCATTTCTAGTTTGAATACCATTTAACTGTACTACAAGTCAGGGTCCTTAGTAGTCTAATTAATATGGATAAGAAAAAATACTTTCATCTCTCTCTTTTCTTCTATTGCATCCTTACCCATCCAACCAGGGCACCATGCTGCCAGACTGGTCCCAGGTGCTTTGGGTGAGACCAGAACATGTTTGGTAAAACATCATGTGGCATTTTCACATGCCTCTACACAGACACTCAGACAGCTGGTCTTCGCACAGCTGCGTTACAAGTGCTATTCCTGAAGGTAGATGCTTACAACCAGATCCTAATATTGACTCTTAGCAGTCATACTACTTTGGGGGAGATGTTACTTTCCTTAGCCTCAGTTTCCCAACTTCTAAATCAGGTTAATAATAGTACCTACCTCATAAGGTTGAGCAGATCATGAGAATTAAGATCATCCATGTTAAATAAGTATTTCCATCTGGCATATCATATAGGAAAAGTTCAAATACCATCAGTTGTTTATTATTATAATTACTAGCATTGGCCTAAATTTTAGACAATTATTCGTTTACTTTAATGTCAGTTATTCCTTTACTCTAATGTCAATGCTTCCTGCGTCCTTCAGGGTGCATCATTTAATGGAATTTAGTAGATGTCAAGGATCTAACATAACCTTAGGGACCAGACCAAGACCTTCCAAAAGGCTGATAAACTTCGTAAGATTACACAACGTGATCTTAGCTCACTGCAACCTCCACCTCCCGGGTTCAAGGGATTCTCCTGCCTCAGCTTCTTGAGTAGCTGGGATTACAGGCGCACAACCACCACACCCGGCTAATTTTTGTATTTTTAGTAGAGATGTGGTTTCACCATGTTGGCTAGGTTGGTCTCGAACTCCTGACCTCGTGATCTGCCTGCCTCGGCCTCCCAAAGTGCTGGGATTACAGGCATGAGCTAGCTTTTAGACCTGATTCTAGTATCAGCAGTTTATAAAATGACTGACAGTGATGTTACTCTAATAAGATGTGTTTCTATTAAGACATCAAGAGCAATGTAGAAAGCAAAGGATAAAAAAGAAAAAAATAATGATCATAGTTACTACCGTCCACTTCATAGTTAGCTATTGGGAAAGAAAAAATTGTAAACTGCAATGGGCCAAAGCCACAGGAAATAACTATTCACAAGATCATGATTGCGAAACATTGAAAATCTATAACAGACATTTATAATTTAATTCTCAGGATGTTCTTGCTAATATATTTTCCCTGGTTGAAAGTAGATTCAGTCTCCAGCAAATGTGGGTAACACTTAGAAATAACCAGAAACATATTGATTTGCAGATTTTATGTTTTGGTTTCTATCTATCACTGCAAACGTTCTCTGTTAAATACAGACATTAGCACCACTTCTGCAGAATGATCTCATCATGGTAATGCAGGAGAACAGTTTTGCAATCTGTAATGTCTTCAGAAAGCAACCCTAATGAAATAAATCAAAATATACATTTCTTTTCATTGCTGGACTCTAATCTACTCATGTGCTGAGTTTAATACTCATTCCAGGATTCTCAAATCTGATTGATGATGTCTTTGAACAGTTTGGAAAAGGATAATCAACCACAAAGCCCAACTTGAAGCTGAGCTGAATTTCCAAGCCTAAACATTGAATGTGCTTTGATTTATACTTGCTGAAAGGCTTAAAAAATTCAGGTTGTGTATGTATGTGTCATCATTCAAAGGCTTAAAATTCAATTCATTACCTGAGATATTTCTGTTTGTGAAGAACACTCCTGACTTACCACATGACCTTCAGTAAAACTTACAATCAGGATAGTGACCATCTCATGCCATTATTGGATAAATGTACACAATGGAAGCTACATTTCATATGTCATCAATATTAATTATATATGGTTTATTGGTGATTATAAATCAAATCTTGTGATTGCTGAAATGTTTTGAGTAATTAATCTAAGACATTGCTATAACATTCCAGTGCAGGAATATCTAGAATTCCTCTGAAATAGAAGTGATTGTAAAATACTTGTCACATAATATTTGTGGGGGTGGGAATAGTAGAGAATTTTGTTTCAGGGGTTCAATTAAAGACACCAGAATGGAGGCTGAGGTAGGAGGATCACTTAAGCCCAGGAGGCCAAGGTTGTGGTGAGCCAAGATTGTGCCACTGCATTCCAGTCTGGATGACAGACCGAGACCCTGTCTCAATAATAATAATAATAATAATAATAATAATAATAATAATAATAGTAACAACAAAAATAAAAAAAGAAAATGCAAAAAAAGACACCAGAATGTCATGTATTAAGATGTTGTAGTTACATTTTCATATTCTTCTGCCTTCCTCTCAGAATGTTCATTACACAGTAATTGAGAAATTCTGCCTATTGTATGTTTGTATGACAACATATAATTTACCTTTCCAGAGAACATGTTAGACATTTGATATGTATAATTACCAAATTTTATTTTCCTTACAAGCTTATTACCTCTAGTTAGGAAAATCAGACAAATAAGTGGCCTAATTCTTACTTTTAGCTACCCGAAAGACGATTTGGAAAGACAATTGTTTTTCACTGAGACCTTAATGTTATCTGATGACAGGTTAGAAAAATGAGAATTACTCTACAGGGGACTACAGATTGAAATCTGTAGTTATCACCGCCTTATTAGATGCATAAGAGAGCTAATGAGTTCATTTCTGAGCTGCTTCATTTTCCCATGGATGGTGAGCCACCAGGAGACTAATAACAGAGATAGTCAAAAAGACACAGATGGATGCAAATGTAAATTTGTGTGCTACCCACTTTGGGGTACGTGTGGCATCCAGGATGTTCCAGTCACACACCAGAGATAGGACCCAGTCAATCATTTATAGAAAACGCTCCTCATCGTATGGAAGTGTCCACCTCACACATGCCATAGACACCATTAGACTATTCTAATTCCCTACTCCTGAGTGGCAATGAGATTATAGTTGTAATTCATTCCGCTCTTGGCAATCATTAAGATTTTATTTTATTACATTTTTAGCACCTCTAGCATACCAGACTTTCTCTTCATACCTTATGATGTAAATTTTGCTATCTGATTTCACCTGAGTTGCCTTTAATATGCAAATTTAAGATGATTTAGCTGACAACTGCCTAGGGTAAGATTTTTTAAAATGGCAAAAACAAAAAGATCTTTATGAGTCTATGTGATGTGCTTCTACCAGCATGCCTAATACATGTATATATTTATGTGTGTGTAAACAATATTTTCACGACTAAAAATATATGAAGAGGCTAGGCCCAGTGGCTCATGCCTGTAATCCCAGCACTTCAGGAGGCCGAGGTGGGCACATTACCTGAGGTCAGGACTTCAAGACCAGCTTGGTCAACACGGTGAATCCCCATCTCTACTAAAAGTACAAAAATTAGCCGGGCATGGTGGCACATGCCTGTAATCCCAGCTACTCCAGAGGCTGAGGCAGGAGAATTGCTTAAGCCCGGGAGACAGAGGTTGCAGTGAGCTGAGATTGTGCCACTCCAGCCTGCCTGACTGAGCAAGACTCTGTCTCAAAAAAATAAATAAAACAAATAAAATAAAATACTATATATACACACACAAACACACATGTGAAGAGCTCTAATTAATTGGCTTTAAAAAGTGCTTAAATCAGATACTAAACAAAAAACACTAGTCAAATGCTTTTTCAAGTTCATGTGACTTAAGTAAAATCTTTACTAAATAAGATTTTATTTTAGTAAGGATCTAGCCAGCTTTAAAATTATTGGTAAAATAATATCAGCAATGTCTTTAGAATTGTTAGAATTTTTTTGCATCTATTGATCAAATGGTTTCATGTTTATTCCCACAGAATACTATAAGATTTGCCATAAGTGTTATAAACTATAAAATCCAGCCCAAGACAGAGTGATCTTTGATTGTATATGCTTATGAAATATTGTTAGCTTAAATGAAAACAGCTAAATACTGAAATATTGGTATAAATATCCTTAAAACTAACCATAAGTTTTATTACTTAAGTAAACACCTCAAATTCACAGCTATAAAAATCATTAATAGAAAAATAACTTAAAATATTGGCTATCACTTTTTTGCAAATAACCTAGGTAAACTACTAAATTAATCAGGTAAATGTAATGGAATAAATGCTTGTAAACACACTTGTCATAATTTAGGATTTAAGGTTATTATTTGATACTAAGTTTCTGGGTAATTTCCAATTTAAGAAATTTTTTAATGTTCTTATTAAGGTAAAATATCTTTGTCTAATTAAAACCTTATTTAAGAGTTATATATGAAACAAGGTAAACCAGGAAATGAGAGCAATATAAAGAAAGTTATAAAAATAAAGAGGTATTTTTGACCAAAAAAAAAAAAAAGCACCTCAAAAAATAATTACTGAATGAGAAATAATTGTTATCAAATTACTGGGAAAATTTAGGTAATTCAAAATTCTCTATTCCCAAACATGATTTTCTAGCTCTTAAATTTGCACAAATACACAAAGTCAGAGCCATTTATTAAGTAATAATCATCTCTGTTACCTTAGATTAAAAACATTATCTCAACCTCTATTATGCATAAAATACTTGAAGAATACACCTGACCTGCTTACAATACCCAGCAGCCATTAATTAGACTAAGGCAGGGAAAGAATAAAATAGATACTTTTAAAACACAAGATACATGTTAGGATGGGATTTGGTTATTTCTTTTAAGAAAAGTTAAGTTTACATACTTAGTTAAAAATTTATAATGGTAAGAGTTGCTATTTTGCCCATCTTTGTTGTAGCGGCCAAGGGAAAACTTCCCCTTTGCCCCCTGAAGATTCACTGAAAAGTCAATTGGCAAAAGGCAGATTAATAGGTGTTAAATTAAGTTTAACCTAAAGCTGTCTCCTCGGAAGTATGGCCTAAAGGTTTCTCCATATACAGTGACCTGTAAACTATACATAAATGCGCTGTAACTCATTTTGTACTAATCATCAAGTGTTGGCCAATCACAGGGCACCAACCAAATAAGAAAAACACTGAGCTGTAACCCATCCAGCTGTTTCTGTACCTCACTTCTGTTTCGTTTATGGCACTTTTCTGTCCATAAATCCTCTCCAACCAAAGGACAGCACAGGAGTCTCTAAAGCTATTCTGGCTCAGGGTATAGGCTGCTTGATTTGCAAATTGTTCTTTACTCAATTAAATTGTTAAATTTAATTTGTCTAATATTTTTCTTTTAACATAGGAGAAAAGGCATATGCATCTAATAACATGCATATGAGTCATACAAAATATAAGAACTCAAAGACGTGGCCAGGTTAGGGGAAAGGGGTAGAGTACAGATTCTCTACAGATGCAAATCTCCCCCCACATAAAACAGCATTGCAAGGCAACTTCTGTTAATATGTCAAAGAAGTATATTTTGTAGTGAAATATTTTGGTTTTCTTCACTGTGTTTTGCCAGCACTCGCAGAGTCAACCTATTGGAGGTATTAATAAAGTGAAAATACAAACACCATGTAAAATGAATAGCTTACTCTATCAAAGTTCTTAAATCTTGGGGTTGAAGGTAATCTTTGAGTAATATAGCTCAATATTGCACTCACAGCAGGTCTTTCCTTCTAAAAATATATATATTTTTAGTGGATACCTGGCATCTTTTGGATGCTTTTAAGGAAAGGATAGGACACATTTAGTGGCCCATGCTACCTTAAAATACTTTTATTAGTATTACTATAAATTTTATTATGATTATTAGGTATTTCTATCCCCTTGTGCTAACCTGAAACTTGCCTCCTATAGTTTTCACTCACCTTTTGCCCACAGGACTTGTGCAGAATCTCTTACAGATGGCAGTTCTATTCAGGTCCAATCAAACGTCTCCCGTCTCTTTAAAATGTTTATATGTCTCCAAGCACGCTACTTTTACCAGATCCAATTGGAGCAAATGGCTCAAGCAGGACCATCAAACATACTGCACTCTTCTGTGTCCTCAACACCTCATACCTTGTTAAGCACCCTTAGCTCACAGTTATCTTATGAGGTTTAATTGACACAAAATAATTCAGAATTCACGGTGTCAGCATTAAATACTAATGAGCTGTTTCTCCTGATGCCAGATTCACACAGATTTGAATATGTGTAACCAAAATCTCATTGTCTGAGGAACATTCTTCCTAGTCCGTCTCCTGTGCCTTTTGTGGACCCCCCACACCAACCTAGGATGGTTCTCAGTTCATTGCAATCCCTGATGCTCTTCCAGAGATCCTGAACCACACATAATCTCTCTTGGCTAGTATGAATTTTGCTGATGGCAGCATTTCTAAAAGAAGATGGAAAAATCAGACTTGCTTCTCCCTTCCCTCTTGCATAGGCATATTAAGCATCATTATCTTCAACACCATCGTCATCACCACCAGCACCACCACTGCCCTTCATTCATCCTATATTTATGCTAAATACTTGACATATCATAGCCAATCCTTAAAATGACTTTATGAAACTATGATTATTCTCATTTTAATATAAGAAAGGGTTTCAGAGAAATAACGCCATCTGTCTAAGTGACACCAGTGGGATAAGAGAGATCCCCAAATGCAAGCGGGACCTTTACCCAGGCCAGTGTCCAGGCTTTTAGACACCGTTTGTTACCAGAGGTAAATCAAGAACAAATCAGGGAATACTGAAAGTATGGGAATTAACAGCAAAGCTAAAATACACACTCAAGAAAAGGGAGTTCGGACATACTCAAGTTTGGGGTTCCTATCTTTACAGGTTTCTTTAACCAAAGGGTAGAATATTCAAAAAGATTTCTGGAAAAAAGTGAAGATTTCTCAGAACCATGGTGTCACTCATTTTTACACCAAATACGAATGTTCCCAGAACTGTTATGGTGCTGGTGGGTGTGGGATTTAGTACATTAGTGAGCATCCATTCAAAAAAAAATCTTAAGTCATTTATAAAACTAGTGATGATCATTTTTTCCAGTGTGTGGTTGTGAGGATTGTTATGTGATAATTGGTCACATGCTTAACATATCACACTAACCAAGAGAGGCTTGTGTGTGGTTCAGTATCTGCGGAAGGGCATAAGGGATTGCAGTCAACTGAAAACCATCCTGGTTTTTCTTTCTTTTTTTTTTTTTCCTTTTTTGTGGGAGGTACACAAATGGCACAAGGAGACGGACTAGGAAGATGCCCCTCAGCCATTGCGTTTTAGATGTATTCAAAAAGGCAACTTTTTTTTTCAGTTATGCCATCTCCTCTCTTTAGTCCATCTTTTCACATAGCCATCGTTTTATGGCTTTGCTTTATTTTTCTACTCCCCCAAAATGAAAACGGCCTGAAGAGTCTTCCTTGCATATCTACAAACACCCCTGGAGTAGTACTCCCTGTTTATAATCATTTCATCCCCTATGGAGAGTAGGGGCTACTGTGTCACATTTATCTTTTCTCACTGCCACATGAATTCCACCAACATAGGCTTCTGTCTTCCACTCACACATTCAGGGCAGGTACACAGCAGGTGCCTCAGTACTGACAACTTCTGGGTTTTGATTTCTTAGCGCCCTAAATATTCAGTGTTACCCAGTCAGGGGGAGGGGAAAGTATGGTTTGAAATCAACAATTCCAAAAGAGACCAAGATATGAGAACAGACAGAAAATCAGATATAAACTTGCAATGTAATATGCTGACATTTGAGGAAAAATTTGCCCTGAATATGTATGGACACTGTGCTATGATTCCAGGAGTTGATAATACTTCTTTCTACAATACCACTGAGGATTTACCTAAAACTCTTTCTGCAGTTCAGCTCGATAATGCCTGTCATCCTTTTCCTTTTTAAAAAAATATTTTCCGTTTAAGCCACTTAGTAAAATACCTCCTGATGTTCAACAGTGAAGATATTAAAGTTGCTTCTTATTTTCGTTAGTGTCCTTTTAAAACTTCATTCCTATTCTGAATGCTTCCCTCTAACGTGCCTTAAGCAAATCAAAGGCATATTTTGGATGCAATTTTTCACCCTCAGAAGCTTCACGTCTTTCTGTGACACTTTAAGAGTCACCTGGTGAATAGCACTGATCGTATTCTATGCATGAAAGAGCATTCGCTGAACACATTCTTTGTTTCCCAGAAAACATCAAAGATTTGACGCTACCAAGTATCCTTTACTGTGAATCAGTATGCAACTCTTATATTCAGGAGAAATGTCTGTAATTGAATAATCTATTTAGAAATAGCCTTACAGATTCCGCTTAATGTTAGCTTGTCCTTCGTACAACTTTATGGAGCTGAGTGTGCAAGATAACATCCACCTATCTCCTCTATATCTCTCTGAATGTCACTCTGACCCTCAAGCCCCTGTGTTTCACCTGTTACCTCCTTTTCTCCCTCCTCAATGAAGCAAGCAAAAACACTTTTGCCAACTAGTGGCAATTTCAGTGTCATTCAGTCAGTCATCTGCGAAATCATTACAGAGACTTTAAGGGCCTGTTATTTGAGAAACCTGAGATGCCAATAAACACGCAATGCACTTCTCATCCTCAGGTTGCTTGCCGTCTAGGAGACACAGATAGATGTGAAAATCATTGAGGAGCCATGTGAAAAATGCTAAAAGAGATGCATGCAATGTGTCGTGGGCTTATCTCAAAAAGAATAGATAACTGTTTCTTCTTGAAAGAAGGGAAAGTAATATAATATTAGAAAAATCCAGAGGGAGAGGGAAGGATAGAGAAGGACATATAGGGTATTGCTACAGATACAAGCATATCTAACTCACACACTGAGCACCTCCCACCTTCTCTCTCAGAGCAGTAGCATTCCGTAAGTGCAGTATGCAAAGTGTCCTTTCTAATATCAGGACCTTTATTTAGCACGAAAGCTAGAAAAGGCACCACTGAGGATATAGAATTAACATTTTACTGTTCTATAAGGAAAGAAAATGAGAGTCAGTATTTATCTGTGGCCAGGCAAACTTGAATTCTAGAAACCCTATCCTATAACCTTGAACTAGTTACCATGTTATCTGGGATTCAGATTTCTCTACCAGAAGATGCCAGATTTCTTATTCCATGTAGTGTTGCTATAAAGGAATATGTGAGGATGGTCATTTATAAAGAAAAGAGGTCAATTGAGCTATGGTTCTGCTGGGGGGAAGGATGAAGATTGGGGATCTGGTGAGGGCCTCAGGCTGCTTCCACTCGTGGTGACAGATGGAGGGAAAATGATGTATGTAAAGACCAAATGGCAAGGGAGGAAGCAAAAGACTGGGGAAAGAGCGAGGCTATTTTTAACAACCAGCTCTCATGGGAACTAAGAGACTGAAAATTCACTCACACCTCTGCTCCCTCCAGGGAGGGCATTAATCTATTAATGAAGGATTTGCCTCAATGACCCAAACACCTTCCATTAGGCCACACTTCTAACATTGGAGATAAAATTTCAACAAGCGGTTTGGAGTGGACAGATATCTAAAGTACAATACCAAACAAAGTGATATTTAAAGGTAATTAGATGCCAAAGAAGCAGTGATCAAATCCGTGCTTGGCTAGCAAGTAGCTGAATAACATGGGCACAGCTTCATGTAACAGTTTCCTCATTCAAAAAAGCGGGAGGTAATAAAGTCTACTTAATAGTATAATAAAGAGGATGGAATCCTGCATATAAAGCACACACAGAATAGCATGTAGGATATAAACTAGCTACTATTAGGGAATGCTTACTTACAATTACTAATAGCAGTAGTAGTAGTAATTGTACTAACAGTGGTAGCAGCAGTTGAGTTGAATGAGGAGGAGGAGAAATAGTACTGGCTGTTAGAAAGATCAGAAAACCAAACATGTTTTTGGTTCTCACTCATAAGTGGGAGTTGAACAATGAGAACACATGGACACAGGGAGGGGAACATCACACACTGGGACCTGTCGGTAGGTGGAGGGCAAGAGGAGGGAGAGCATTAGGACAAAAACCTAATGCATGCAGGGCTTAAAACCTAGATGATGGGTTGATGGGTGCAGCAAACCACCATGGCACATGTATACCTATGTAACAAACTTGCACGTTCTGCACATGTGTCCCAGAACTTAACATAAAATTAAAAAAAAAAAGAAAGACCAGCTTAATATTCTAGGATTCTGTGAGTATACATGTCTTAGTCCTTGATGAGACTCTATTTTCAAGAAAAGTATTTTTAGCTATAATGGTAATTTTGCTACCTATCAAATATTTTTCTGCCACGCAAAATAAAATCTGAGGGGTTCTTTGTAGAGAACACCTGTTCTCCAACTACCAGAGAGTTAGAGGGACGGTTTTAGCTCAAAAGTATTTGCAATAATGTTTCTAATTATTCTAAGACAGAGAATCCATTACTTTCCCAGCCATCCCATTCTACTGGTCTATGCTTGTCCCCCTAGTGATTTCCTGGTGTATCACAGAGGTTTCAGGAGATGTCATTCTCAGATTAGGGGAGGTTTGACTGTACCTTACACAGAAAGGCAGAGAACACTAGGATTCATAAGTGTCTTGGCAGAGTGTCCACCTTTCAGGCAAATAGAAGACATATCCTACAAGTCTCCATGAAAGGCCGTGCATAGAAGGCACACATACACTGATGACAGATGAGGGTTGCCATGTTGACAGCCAGCCAACAAACAACCGGGGAATGAAAGATGTGAGACTGCAAAATAAACTTCTTGTCTTGGACTTATGGAAGCTGTGCATTTTCAGTGCTTTGAAAAACGAGCCATAGAGTGTTTGCAAGCATCAGGTGGTTGTTTGCTACGCATGTAAACCTTTATTTCTAGGAAAGCTCTGAGTTCTGTGCAGATGGCACAACAGTGAATCGATAACCTACTTTAATGTCCACACATGCTGACCTCCCCGTTTTACCTAGATGTGGGTGGTATTTATGGGGCATTAAACATGTGTTGAGTGCTGGACTAAACATTTCCTATGAAAGACCTCATTTTATCTTCCTAACACCGTAAGCTGCAGCTCTAAAGTCAGATGCATAATTTACTAGTTTGTGTGATGGGGGCAAGTTAATCCTCATTTAAGCCCAAGTTTTCTCATCTCTAAATTATGGAAATAATAGTATTATTTTGTAGCCACTCCAAAGAAACAGGATGGACTGCCTTCCAAAGTTTGGTTCAGATGTTAAAACTGAAGACACACACACACACACCCCAAAAGAGTGTGAAATGTTTATTAGTCACAAAATGAGTCTTTCCGGGGAGAAAAAGGCAGGCTTCCGAAGCTGATCCTTAAGTGGTTGGAGAGATCAAGGAAAGGAAATTGGCTTGAGGCTTTTATGATAGTTGGGGTGGGGATGTGATGAGAGTTTCCATTGTTTGGACTCCCTTCTAACACCAAAGGAGGGAGCACTCTGGCTTTCTTACCAGCTTGCCCAGATGTGAGGCAGCAGGGAAGAAGGAGAGGTGAAGCTTTAAAGCTGGTATGGACACAGGGAGGGGAACAACACACACCGGGGCCTGTTGGGGGAGTGAGGAGCAAGGGGAGGGAGAGCATCAGGACAAATACCTGATGCATGTGGGGCTTAAAACCTAGATGACAGGTTGATAGGTGCGGCAAACCACCATGGCACATGTATATCTGAGTAACAAACCTACACATTCTGCGCATGTGTCTCCGAACTTAAAGTAAAAAAAAAAAAAAAAAAAAAAAAAAAAGAAAAGAAAGAAAACAACAACAACAATGATGGAGTCAGAATTCTTATTACAAGTGTCTACCCTCAGAGTTTTCATGTGAAGATATAATGAAATGATTCAAGTTTAACTTTTCATGCAGTGTCAGGCAGAAGCCAATTGGTCAACTTGTATTTACCTACATATCAGTGGAGGCAAAATAATCCCCCTTTAACAAGTAAGAACATTGAGGTTCTGAGAGAAATACGAGTAACATTGCATAAGTGACGGGTGGAAGAGCATTAATTCCAACCTCGGTGTTAGGAATTTCAAACACTGGCCTTTTAACTATCATACAAATAAATGCACACCGGTACACAAGCATTTTCCATAGACAAGAAAAGAAAATACTGAATATAGTGCCACGATATATTTCTATCAATAGCGCACAATGCTTCACAATGTTACCTTTGCTTAGGCAATCCTGGCTTGAGTTCTGGTACTTGCAGTTAGAACTTGAGTGACCTAGGTTCGCCATATTTAGTAAATAAAAATACAGGACATTCAGTTAAACTTGGTTTTTAGATAAACAACAAATAATTTTTAGTATAAGCATGTCTCATGTAATATGTGATGAGTAACATATTGCCTGGTCTAGTAATATCCTTGGCAGAAGTTAACATAAATTGCCCAATTTCTCTATAATTTTTCTTCTAACGTTCTTTACAAGTGAAGATATTATGCTTTAGGACAATTAGTGCTGGCCCTTAATTTAGCCATGCATTAAACCTTAAAAATGTTAAAGTCCATGTAATTCTAAAGATTTCTACTTTAGATTGCTTGTTTCCCTTTTTAAAGTAGACAAGCACATGTATGCATGCATGCACCGTAAGTAAACAGGATCGCTTTTTACTTAGGAAGACAGTTCTAATCAAGCCCATGGTAATTGTGGAATCACTTCATTTTAAGTCTCAAAAGGCAAGTGGATGATTCCTTTTTTCTTTCTCAGGGGAATAGTGTCTTACATTTTGCAATAGCTAAAAAAGCTATCTTGGGATGGAGCAAAATGCTGAATTAAATGCAAATGCTCTGACTTTGATGAGAATATTCCCTTCTAACATAGTCTGGTTTCTTAGCCTGGAGTCAAAACCCCTTTTCAAAGGAATATGCATGACTCTGGGATTCAAGCCAGCTTGGCATAAAAAATCCTTCCATGTGGCTTTTCTCAGCTGCCAGCAGCTTTGGGTTCTCCAGAGAGAGAGAAAGAGAGAGAGAGAGAGAGAGAGAGACAGACAAAGAGAGAGAGAACAACTTTAACTGCTTACTCCTAATTGCAGAGAAAGCCTTAGTTTGCTTTTTGTCACTTTGCTCTTCTGCAACTGTATGAGGAAAAAAAAATGAAAGAGAAAAGCCTCTGAATGCATTGCTGAGTACAAAATACCTGTGAATAAGTTCCTTCTATGGTTTATAATCTAAGAAGTGGAGAGTAGAGCTGCCTTTTCTACCAGCATCTCTACTGAAAAATGCTAGCTCATTGCCATAGGACATTTAAGTGCACTAATGCACCATCCTTATCTTTCCACCTCCATCCTGCTTACTCCATATGCAAAATTCTTTCCATATCTCTGTCTCAAACTTCTTGCCAATTTTATGGATTTCTATCTATTTTCCAAGAATCAGCTCAAGAGTCACCACTGCATGAAAGCCTTCACTATTTGATGACCTGTATCCTCATTTCCCCACCCTCTCCCATGGCACCATGTCCCATGGCTCTATCTCTTCCATGAATGAACTCACATCATATACCCCAATAGACTATGAACCCTTTGTGTCATTTATTTTGTTCTCTCGGTACTTACACAGAATGTGGATAGATGTATTTGGTCAAATGTGCATGTATATGGTCATTACTCTCTTGAAACAAAGAGACTACACCATGTATGAATTGATAAGGTCAACCTTAGGATACTCGTAATTTTGTCTGTAGAGATGGAAGATGTTGTTTTGCCCCACCCATATACCCTTGCCCTCACAGTTGCAGTGCATGTTTGACTTCTAGCTGGGAACAGCTGCATTTCTTTGTCATAGATTTATACTGGCAGCTTGAGCCTGCTTTGCCTACATCAGAAGTAGTTCAAAAAAAAATCCTCCTACCTCAGCACATCCCTTGCTAGGAGCTGAATTGTGCCGGCACAAAATTCATATGTTGGAACTCTACCCTCCAGGACTTTGGAGTGTGACAGTATTTGGAGATAGGACCTTTAAAGAGATTAAGTTAAAATGAGGCCAGTAGGGTTGGCCCTCATCCAATCTGACTGGTGTCCTTATGAGAAGAGGAAATTTGGACACACAGAGAGACACCAGGGATGCATGGCCAAAGAGGAAAGACTAGGTGAAGACATATTGGAAGGCAGCCATCTGCTAGCCAGTAAGAGAGGCCTCAGAAGAAACCAAGTCTCCCAGCACCTTGATCTAGGACTTCTAGCCTCCAAGTCTGTGAGAAAACAAATTTCTATTGTGTAAGCCCCCCAGTCTGTGGTATTTTGTTGTGGCAGCACTGGAAAACTAATATGGCCCTCAAACAATGACTGTCAGGAGTTGATGTTTAAATGATGCCCTGGACTCCTCAGATCTTGGGTGAAATACTCTGAGATGTGCTGTACCCCATTTCCTGAGGGATTAAGTTTCAATTAATGCAGCAAAACTACTGTAAGTAAACAGAAAAAACTCTATTTAAGATGTCAGACCAGCTAAGTTTTTGTTTACTTTTGTGAAATTCTTACAACACACAGTTATGAAAATTGATTCCTCCATTATCCCACATCCACAGAGTGTCATTTTATGAATAAGAAAAAAAAGGATGAAAGGGAAGAGTGTTAATTCAGACCACTTTCATTAACATAAGAAGTGTATTGAATTTGCAAAATTCACATTTACAGTTACTTCTATTTTTAAAAAGTTTAAAGCACATTATAACATAGAACCAATAAAATATCTAAAAAGGATACCCCCAAATTTTTGACATAAGTAAAATATAATATGTTATCAGACAACTAGGGTAAATTGTCACTACAATTACACTTTTAACTCTAAACTTAAAGATAGGCAAGGCAAATTAAGAAAGAAAATGTAAAAATAGTAAAATTTTAGTGATGTCATATCACAGGCAAAAGGACTTCTTTTCTTTCTGTAAGCCATGGAATTATAAATTGTATGTTATGTAAACTCAATTCCTTCCAAATATGTTTTTTAAATTGTATATTGTGCTATACATATACAATGAAATGCTATTCAGCTTTGAAAATGGAAAGATATGGTACAATTTACAATAACATGGAACGGTTTAGAGGACATTATACTAAGTGACACAAGCCAGACACAGAAAAAGAAAATACTGCATGATCTCACATGTATTTGGAATCTAAAAATATTGAATACATAGAAATAGAAGAACAATGGTTCCACATGGTTTAGAATAATTTACAGTAGCATTAATTAAATATGTGGATCTCAAACTAAATTTTGGTCTTAGGATTCCATTGCAACTTTAAAAATAGCCTCAAAGATCCTCATATGTTTGGGTTATATCTATCAATGTTTAACACATTAGCAATAGAAAGGGAGATACAGGATACAAAGCTATACAAACAAATGAAGCATTCCCAATCAGGGTATTGTGGCCTCTGGAAACCCCACTGTATACCAGTGAGAGAAGCAGAATGAAAAAGGCAAATAATATCTTTATATTATGAAAATAGCTTTTATGAAACAGTTTCATGGATCCCTGAATGAGTATTGAGGACTTTCAGGGATCTCTGGACAATATTTTGTAAGATGCAGTACTTAATGAATGTTTCTAGCATTGGTTAACACTAGAGAAGTGTGAAACAATGATAAGGTGATTAAAGACTGAGGCTTTGGAATCCATCTGTCTGAGATTCATGTTCTCAGTCTCCCCTCTACTACTTGCTTGCTATGTGAACTTAAGTTTCCAGTTCCCCACGTGTTAAATGGGGGTAAAATGGTACCTACCTCTTAGCACTGATGTTAGTATTAGAGGACTAGAACTGGCTATGTATTGTTATTGTTATAGTAATAACAAAGCATTTCATGAAAATTCAGAAGTACCTCTGTGGTCACATAATGCAATATTATCCAGATATGATTATCTCCTTTTATTTGTCTTTACTATATGTAAGGAGAGAACTGAGATAATTTCAGAATAAGAACTGAACATTTTTAGAATAAAAACATCCCAGTTGTTAGTATTTCAATCATTCTTCTGATGAGTTTCAAAGTTCAGTGTCTGGAAAATGGCTCAGGTGCCAGTATTAATACCAGAGAGATATCACATGCTGGCAGCATCAAGATAGTAAGAGGAAAGAGCTGTTCTGGTGTGAATATTAGGGCTCTTTTTAAAATTTACTTTTTATACCTAGAGGCCCCTTTCTTTGACATAGAAATGATTAGGGAATTGCCTTCAGATTGGATAAACTCCTTTCAAAAGATAATTTTAGATGGTGATATGAAGAGTAACACAGACCCTGTCACTAGGGAAACAACCATAACCGGCGAAAGTGTATAGTTTAAAATAATGCAAATCTCTGGAAATTTTCTTAAGGCAATGCAGCCAGTGAAGAAACACTTATTTTTTAAAAATCTACTAAATCTCAATAAGAACAGCAATCCTGTGGTAATTGAGCCAAGACTAGCTCCCCCACTCCCCGCCACCCAACTCAGCATGATAGGGGCTCCATTTTGGTGGGTGCAGTCAAGAACACAGGACTCCTTTTCCCTCCACTTCTCAGTTAAGGGCGACATTACCTCCCTGGAAGACACAGGTTGCCAGTGTTTCTCATATTCCAAGCTACATGCTGCAGGACCTCTATGCTACACAAGACTGGCCAAGAGGTCTCGGGTTTTCTTCATCCATTCAGCTCCCACTCATAGGTAGAAGCAAGGGCCCAGGGGTGGTAGAGTGAGAATACAGTGGCCCCAAGGGCCCTCCACTCAGTTTGCTCATAAGGTAGATGTTATACCTCGGAACAGGCAACCAAGAAAACCAGAGGCTGCTTCTCCACCTCATTGCCCCACATGTGAAGTGGGGGTGTCATTCCTCGAAAAGTGGATCATTCTCCCCTTCCCAAGCTCCTGAGCAGTGGTGCAGAGGTTTGCTTAAGGGGTGGAGAAATTCTACAAAGAAACTGACTTTATTTGGAATAAATGTAGAAAAGGTCAAGCCTAGCAATTAAGAGGATGCTGGTAGCTCCAGAAAAGCTACAAACAAGCTATAGGTTTAACGAGAGAACCAAGAAGTGACGGCTAGAAAAAGGAACAAACCTCAAAAACTGGGCTCAAAATTTGCCTTTGAAAAATGGCCTGCATTTAAGTGAATCAGGCTAGAGCAATTTATATCCTCAGGGAATAATTGGAAACAATAAAACAAACAACTGGAAATTAGTGGAGGCTAACAGCTTTCTGTGATACAAACTAAGGCAGACAGCTTAACAGAGAAATCAAGAAAAGATACAAAGACAGATTTGGGAAAGAGTGAAAAATTAGCATTCTGGGTAGTTACAAGACTTTTTACAAATGTCTAGTTTTTAGAACAAAAATGTACAAAACACACAAATAAAGAGAAAAAATGTAACTACAAGTCAACAGGAGAAAAAACAGGCAATAGAAACTGCTTTTGAGAAAGCACAGATGTTAGATCTAGATAAAAACAAAAATATAAAAATAGATATTTTAGATATATATTCAAATAACTAAGGAAAGCTGTGCTTAAAAAAAGTAAAGTGCGATAATGTCCCATCAAATAAAGGATTAAAATAAAGATATAAAAATTATAAGAGATAAAAAATTTTGGAACTGAAAAGTACGATAATTTTAATAAAACATTTACTGCAGCAATTCAGCAGTAGATTTTAGCAAGCAGAGGAAAGAACTAATGAACTTGGAGACAGAGATTTTGCAATCTGAAAAATAGAGAAAAAATTAACAAAGAAAAACGATCTGCCCCTCAGAGAAACTCTCACCAATCAGAAGCTCAGCAACACATGAATAATGGGAGCATCAGCAGAATAGAGAAAGGAAGGAGTAGAAAAGATATTCAAAAAAAATGATAGCTGAAAACTTCTTAAATTTGATGAAAAACATTAACCTGCCCTTCCAAGAATTTCAATAACCACCTAGTAGGATAAACACAATAAGAGCCATATCAGACACATCTTAGTAAAAATGTCAGAAGACAAAGAGAATCTTAAAAGCAGCAAGAAGAAGACAAGTTATCACTTGTGAGTAAGCTCCAATAACATGAATGGCTGATTTCTCATCAGAAACAACGTGAGTCCAGAAGGAAGTAGAATGACATCTTCAAAGTCTTTCAACTAAGAATCTTATATCCAGCAAACCTACCTTACTGAAATGAAGGCAAAATAAAGACTTTCAAAAATAAATAAAAACAGATTTGTTGTTGTTGTTAGCGGATCTACCTTATAAGACATATTGAAAGAATTTCTTCTGCCTGAAAACATGTAATCCCAGAAAGTATTTCAAATCCACATAAAAAAACAGAGTCCCAGTAAAGATAATTATGTAATTATAAAAGAGAGTATAAATTCATATTTCTTTTTATTTCTTCATTAATGAATTTTAAAAAGCGATTGTGTTCAACAACCGATACGTACTTGTAATTGTTTTGTTGGGATTATATTTGACAGTAACAGCACAAAGGAGCAGAATGAAAGAAAAGCTGTATTGAATAAGGAATGGACACCAAATGGTTACTCAAATCCATAGAAATAGATCAAATGATAAATAAGGTTAATATAACAAAACTCTAGAAATATATACTTCCTCTTCTTTGTTTTCTCAGCTCCTTTGAAAGCATAAATTCATGTAAAGTGTTATAATGTTATTTTGGGCTGGTAACATATGTAAATATAATGCATTTAAAAATAATAGCACAAAATGAGGGTAAGAAAGTATAGGGTTATCTAGAAATAGGATTTCTACTTCTCATTGAAGTTGGTGTAAATCTAAATTTGATTCTGATCATCTATATTGATGTATATTGTGGGGAAACCATATAGAAACCACTTTTTAAAAACCTCAAAAAATACAGTGAAAAAAGAACTAAATTAATTAAAATGCTCTACTACAAAATACTCACTCAATGCAAAAGAAAGAAATGGAGGAACAGAGAAACATAAAACGATATGAAACACCAAAAGCAAAAACTTAAGTGACATACATAAATCCAAGCATATTAATAACAACATTAAATGTGAGTGGATAGAACAGAGATTTTCAGACTGGATTTAAAAACAACAACTATGATTCAACTATGTGTTATCTATACGATACACATTATATAGATCCAAAGACACAAATAGATTGAAAGTAATAGGGTGGAAAAATATATATCATTCAAATAGCAACCAAAAGAAAGCTGAGTGGCAGGGCACAGAGGCTCACACCTGTAATCCCAGCACTTTGGGAGGCTGACGCGGGGGGATCACTTGAGGCCAGGAGCTTGAGACCAGCCTGGACAACATGGCAAAACCTCATATACACTAAAAATACAAAAATTAGCTGGGTGTGTTGGCATGTGCCTGTGATCCCAGCTAGTTGGGAGCCTGAGGCAAGAGAATCACTTGAGCCTTGGGGAGCGGAGGTTGCAGCGAGCCAAGATTGTGTCACTGCACTCCAGCCTGGGCAGCAAAGTGAGACTGTCTCAAAAAAAGAAAAAAAAAAAAAGCTAACATACCTATAGTAATAGAAATAGAAAAAATAGATTTTTAAAACAAAAATAATACTAGAGATTACAAGAGATATTTATCCTGCTAAAAGGGTCAGTCCATCAGCATCATATAAAAATTATAAATATGTATACATAAAACTAAAACAGAGCCTCAAAGTAGATAAACCAGAAACTGACAAAATTCAACTACAATAGTTGGAGACTTAAAATATCCCACTTTCAGTAATGGATAGAACAACAAGGTATGTCAAAAAAAAAAAAAATAGAGGACTTGAATAAGACTATAAATCAATTAGACCTAATAAACCTAGAACCTAGAACATTCCACTCAACAACAGCAGAAATACATTATTCTCAAGTGGATATGTAATATTTTCCATCATAGGACATGTGGTGGGCCTTAAACAGGCCTCAATAAACTTAAGAGAATTTAAATTACGCCAAGTATACTTTTCCACTACCATGTAATTAAATCAGAAATCAATAACAAAGGCTGCACATGGTGGCTCATGCCTGTAATCCCAGCACTTTGGGAAGCCATCTAATTGCTGAGCAGGATTCCATTGTGTGAATACCACAATGTGGTAAAACATACATAACATACAATTTACCATTTTGCCCATTTTCAGATGTGTAGTTCAGTGGCAGTAAGTACATTCACATCACCTTTTACTAATACTGTAACATCAGCATGTAAGCCCTTGCAAGGATAAGGACACACCTCAGTTAACCGTGTGTTTCCATTTGTTTGGGACAGATTTGGTTTATATCTGTTGTCCCAGTTTACTTATTAATAGTGCCCCCTTTTGTTCTATAAAGTGTCCTAATTTGGGCACTCTATAATTATGTCCTTAATTACATCATCATCATAACTCCATTTCTGCTTCCCTCTTTCTTCTCTCCCGCTGTTCCTTCATCCTGGAACTGGACTCCTGGACTTCCTTTATCTGGCAAATCACTACCCATCATTGAAGGCCCTGCTCTCTCTCCTGCACTGCCTCTTTTAAAGTCTGGAAGAACTAATCCTTCCCTTGTCTGCATCCACACTCCATTTTTTAAAAATATAAATATAAGGCAATCAGGTATTTCCCACCATGCTGGAAATAACTGCAGAATTTAGGATTTAAAGTTACACCTAAAATAATTATTTTCACACTCCCTACTTCTTATACAATGTATGACACACAGAACACACTCAAATGGTTGTTAAATGAATATTTAATGATTTATGCTTTCCACAAAATCTAATTTGTGGCATTGTAGGGGTGGTAAATACTAACTATATTTATTAGATAAGACTATTTCTGTGCTGTGTTTGTTTGATGAGCTCTTAAAATAACTACATGCACATATACAACAAAAACAAGAAAACCTCCCTTCCCCATGGCTACTCAATAAATAAATAAACCACACTCATAAAGCTTGTCAAAGTACTACTTCCCACAGGAGAATTTTGCTCTTCTCTCTCATTTATCTAGGCATGTGTAGAGGCTTTTGACCCAATTTAGCATAGATAAATGACCCATGATGTGAAATTTCCCAACAGTTTAATAATGCATTTAACTCAAAGTGACACTTGCTTGCAGCTGCCTTAAAGCACTTTGGAGACCGATATATGTCCCTTTGAAATGATGGATGGTGAAGAGGCAGGCCTGTGTGAGAGATCCCCCACTCATCTCCCCTAGGGAAGAAGTGAGGAAATCCTCTTTAAATTGCCCGCCGCAAATTCAGAGCTTGTGAGACTTAATTTACTATATACATTTTCCAATACCATTTACAGTTATGACCATTAGACTAACTGTAGTATAAAGCTTTTTGTATCCTATATAATACTCCTTTCTTTATGTCACATACTTAAGAGGTTTTATTGATTTCCCCCTCCAAAACATCAAAAGCAGAATATTTTTGTTCATTGCTAAAAATGCTTTCACAATCTACAAAATAATTTAGCTGAAGCACAATTGTTTTGCATGACTTTAAAATACTATGCCATGGATGAGGAGTCTTTACCTTGTTTTGGCTAAATTCAATAAACATCAAATGAGTAAATCCAAACAGAGATTTTTATGATCATGTTTAAGATTCTGGTAAAACAAAGGAAGATGAAAGAAGATGAACTGCCTGTTTTTTTGATTTCACTTTCTACTTTTTTTAGAACCACAGTTCATATTTTGTTATAACAATATGTGTTTTGTGGTAGATACTAAGAACAAAAAATTTTGCTATTTTATCTCATCACGTAATTCTTCTCAGACATATTTATAACCCCTCAGAGGATACAATTAAGCAACAGAAAAAAATGTTTTGAACTGTCTATATCTGCAAAGTTGTTTTATTCAACTATATTTTTTTGAGACAAAGTTTTGCTCTTGTCTCCCAGGCTGGAGTGCAATGGCACGACCTCGGCTCACCGAAGCCTCTTCGTCTTGGGTTCAAGCCATTTTCCTGCCTCAGCCACCCGAGTAGCTAGGATTACAGGCGCCCGCCACCACGCTCAGCTAATTTTTGAAGTTTTAGTAGAGACAGGGTTTCACCACGTTGGCCAGGCTGGTCTCGAACTCCAGACCTCAAGTGAGCCACCCACCTTGGCCTCCCAAAGTGCTGGGATTACAGGCGTGAGCCACAGCGCCTGGCATATTCAACTATATTCTTTGAGTTTGGTAACTACTTTGGGAGTGATTCCAACACTTTAACATTCAGTAAAGTATGATGTAGAGTAACGTTACAGTCATTTACTGAGTTTAATATACACAAAAAAGTATATCCATGTGAGAGACATGGACAGAATTTTTGTGGAGTACAAAATAGAATTGAGTGAAAAATGACTAGGGATATGCTATCTGGAGGCCATGGCCTGTCAAATTCCTGAACCAGACTGCTGACATCTCAAACAGAGCAGACTTTATCTTCTAGACTCTATTCTTTTCAATGTTGATCTGGTATTTTCTGTAGACATAGCGTGAATTTGTAGATGAGCAAAAGCACACATTTATGTACAGCCAAAGGATACACACACAATCAAAAGCAGGGGGCCAAGAATAATGGGCTAATATTTATATTCTTATAGGTGATAGTACTAATGTCTCTAAATTCAGATTCCACCTGACTCCACCCCTGAGCCCACATCCTGACTGCTGATCAGAAATTTTGAATCAGGTGAAGCCTCTTTCAATAGTCTCAGGGTTAAGCCATCTTCACTCCTGGCTTTACCTGGCCTTGTAGTTCCTCCTTTATGTGTCTATCCCAGTGGTTCTGACAGTGTTTTCTAATTTTTTTCTCATCCCCTACCAACCTATTCAGTAGAAGGAAACTTTGATTTCAATCTGTGTGTCATGGACTGGCAGCTCTTCCCTCCTATGATGAACTCTAATATCTATAAATTGGCCTCTTTTTCAGTTTCTTCCCCTAACAATGGCACACTTATTCTCCTGACCAGATACCAAAGTTTCCATTAATATTCTGTTAATATGCACCTTTAATATTATCCAATAAGCACCCATATTTCCCTTTGTCATTTTTTTCACTTATTTGGCTATTCACCCTAGAGAAATCAAATAATCAGGTGACTCAAAGATAGCAAAATATTATTGAAAAAATACAGGTGCCAGGCGTGGTGGCTCACACTTGTAATCCCAGCACTTTGGGAGGCTGAGGCAGGCAGATCACCTGAGGTCATGAGTTCGAGACCTCCCTGACCAACATGGTGAAACCTCATCTCTACTAAAAATATAAAAAAAAAAAATTAGCCAGGCATGGTGGTGGGCACCTGAAATCCCATCTACTGGGGAGGCTGAGGCAGGAGAATCACTTGAACCCAGGAGGCAGACGTTGCAATGAGCTGAGATAGTGTCATTGCACTCCAGCCTGGGCAACAAGAGTGAAACTCTGTCTCAAAAAAAAGAAAAAAAAAAACAGGCAAATACAGGCTTTGTCAATGTAGTTTAGAAAATGAATTCAAATTTTCTGTGCCTGTTTTCTTATTTATAAATATAGGTATTACTATTCATCTCCCATAAGATTATTGTAAGAATTTCATGAGACAACATATATGAAAAGATGTAGCATGATGTCTTTCTCACAGTAAGGACTTTGGTTAACAACACTAACTCCAGAGTGAGAATTTCTGGTTTTAAATTCCATCTACTTCAGACACCAGTTGTGTGACTTTGGAAAACACACACAAAGAATATACTAAGACTCAAGTGCTGGAAGATTTAAAGCTAGATTTTAAAATCCAGATACATTAATAAATGAGTTATTTAATCTTTCTAGTCTTGTTTTTCTCCCCTGAAAAATGGGGATAATAATAGTAGCTAATCCACAGGGTTGGTGTGAGTATTCACTAAGTTAATATACAAGAATGATAGTCAACACTTACTGTTAGCTACTTTCACTGCTTTGATAGCAGAAGGAGGAGGTTGGGGAGAAGAAGTAATGATTATTAACTACTTCATTTTTCTCCCTTTATGCATACCTTTGTACTGATTTACATAACATATACAATGCTGGAAAGAGTTAAGATATATATGATCAGCAGAATTATAGTTTAATGTAGTTCATTTAATGTTTTAGGTATCTGATTGGTAAAATTGTTCTGTTAAGAATCAGGGCCCAAGAGAATACTTATATGTTATCTATAGTTCAGTGAAAATGATAATGTTATAGACCCCAGGGTCATGCAGTAAATGCTATTGTTTCCTCTTTCCTCACATTTGCTTTTTTGGGCCAGTGCACCCATTCCCAAGCGCCTGAAAATGTTGGTTCACATTTTCTTCCATTCATCACATAATTGAAATTTCATCTAGTAAGAGAGTCATTCTATTCTAATGTGCATTATGACATTCCATTTTCAAAATAGTCCATTAGACCAGGTTTTAGGATTTAAATTTGCAGATGAGAAAAATGAAAATTGGAGAGATTAAGCAACATACCTGACATCAGTGACAAATTTAAAACCTCAACCTCCAGTCATCCTTATTTCAAGTCCAAGGCTTTCTTTCATGGTGCTTTGTGGATTCATCCACACTCTCTCAACCCCATCTTTTAAGAACAAAGAAATCTCCCAAAAAAAGAAATAGGCTGGGGGGTGGAGCCAAGATGGCCGAATAGAAACAGCTTCAGTCTACAGCTCCCAACATGAGCGATGCAGAAGACGAGTGATTTCTGCATTTCCAACTGAGGTACTGGGTTCATCTCACCGGGGAGTGTTGGAAAGTGGGTGCAGGACAGTGAGTGCAGCACACCGAGCATGAGCCAAAGCAGGGCAAGGCATCGCCTCACCCAGGAAGCACAAGGGGTCAGGGAATTCCCTTTCCTAGTCAAAGAAAGGGGTGACAGACAGCATCTGGAAAATCGGGTCACTCCCACCATAATACTGCACTTTTCCAAAAGTCTTAGCAAACGGCACACCAAAAGATTATATCCTGCGCCTGGCTCTGAGGGTCCTATGCCAGTGGAGCCTCGCTCATTGCTAGCACAGCAGTCTGAGATCATACTGCAAGGCGGCAGTGAGGCTGGGGGAGGGGCGCCTGCCATCACTGAGGCTTGAGTAGGTAAACAAAGCGGCCAGGAAGTTCAAATCGGGTGAAGCCCACCACAGCTCAAGGAGGCCTGCCTGCCTGCCTCTGTAGACTCCACCTCTGGGGGCAGGGCATAGCCAAACAAAAGGGAGCAGAATCCTCTGCAGACTTAAATGTCCCTGTCTGACAGCTTTGAAGAGAGTAGTGGTTCTCCCAGCACGCAGCTAGAGATCTGAGAACGGACAGACTGCCTCCTCAAGTGGGTCCCTGACCCCCCAGTAGGGGCAGACTGACACCTCACACGGCTGGGTACTCCTCTGAGACAAAACTTCCAGAGGAACGATCAGGCAGCAACATTTGCTGTTCACCAGTATCTCCTGTTCTGCAGCCTCCACTGCTGATACCAAGGCAAACAGGGTCTGAAGTGGACCTCCAGCAAACTCCAACAGACCTGCAGCTGAGGGTCCTGACTCTTAGAAGGAAAACTAACAAACAGAAAGGACATCCACACGAAAACCTCATCTGTACATCACCATCATCAAAGACCAAAGGTATATAAAACCACAAAGATGGGGAAAAAACAGAGCAGAAAAACCGGAAACTCTAAAAATCAGAGTGCCTCTCCTCCTCCAAAGGAGCGCAGCTCCTCACCAGCAATGGAACAAAGCTGGAAGGAGAATGACTTTGATGAATAGAGACAGGAAGGCTTCAGATGATCAAACTACTCCGAGCTAAAGGAGGAAGCTTGAACCCACGGCAAAGAAGTTAAAAACCTTGAAAAAAAATTAGACGAATGGCTAACTAGAATAACCAAGGCAGAGAAGTCCCTAAAGGACCTGATGGAGCTGAAAACAAAGGCACAAGAACTATGTGACAAATGCACAAGCTTCAGTAGCCGATTCAATCAACTGGAAGAAAGGGTATCAGTGATGGAAGATCAAATGAATGAAATGAAGCGAGAAGAGAAGTTTAGAGAAAAAAGAATAAAAGGAAACGAACAAAGCCTCCAAGAAATATGACACTATGTGAAAAGACCAAATCTACATCTGATTGGTGTACCTGAAAGTGATGGGGAGAATGGAACCAAGTTGGAAAACACTCTGCAGGATATTATCCAGGAGAACTTCCCCAATCTAGCAAGGAAGGCCAACATTCAACTTCAGGAAATACAGAGAACGCCACAAAGATACTCCTTGAGAAGAGCAACTCCAAGACACATAATTGTCAGATTCACCAAAGTTGAAATGAAGGAAAAAATGTTAAGGGCATTCAGAGAGAAAGGTCGGGTTACCAACAAAGGGAAGCCCATCAGACTAACAGTGGATCTCTCGGCAGAAACTCTACAAGCCAGAGGAGAGTGGGGGCCAATATTCAACATTCTTAAAGAAAAGCATTTTCAACCCAGAATTTCATATCCAGCCAAACTAAGCTTCATAAATGAAGGAGAAATAAAATACTTTACAGACAAGCAAATGCTGAGAGACTTTGTCACCACCAGGCCTTCCCTAAAAGAGCTCCTGAAGGAAGCACTAAACATGGAAAGGAACAACCAGTACCAGCCACTGCAAAAACATGCCAAATTGTAAAGACCATCGAGGCTAGGAAGAAACTGCATCAACTAATGAGCAAAATAACCAGCGAACATCATTAATGACAGGATCAAATTCACACATAACAATATTAACCTTAAATGTAAATGGGCTAAATGCTCCAATTAAAAGACACAGACTGGCGAATTGGATAAAGAGTCAAGACCCATCAGTGTGCTGTATTCAGGAAACTCATCTCACATGCAGAAACACACATAGGCTCAAAATAAAGGGATGGAGGAAGATCTACCAAGCCAATGGAAAACAAAAAAAGGCAGGGGTTGCAATCTTAGTCACTGATAAAACAGACTTTAAATCAACAAAGATCAAAAGAGACAAAGAAGGCCATTACATAATGGTAAAGGGATCAATTCAAGAAGAAGAGCTAACTATCCTAAATATATATGCACCCAATACAGGAGCACCCAGATTCATAAAGCAAGTCCTTAGAGATCTACAAAGAGACTTAGACTCCCACACAATAATAATGGGAGACTTTAACACCCCACTGTCAACATTAGACAGATCAACAAGACAGAAAGTTAACAAGGATATCCAGGAATTGAACTCAGCTCTGCACCAAGTGGACCTAATAGACATCTACAGAACTCTCCACCCCAAATCAACAGAATATACATTCTTCTCAGCACCACACTGCACTTATTCCAAAACTGACCACATAGTTGGAAGTAGAGCACTCCTCCGCAAATGTAAAAGAACAGAAATTATAATAAACTGTCTCTCAGACCACAGTGAAATCAAACTAGAACTCAGGATTAAGAAACTCACTCAAAACCGATCAACTACATGGAAACTGAACAACCTACTCCTGAATGACTGCTGGGTAAATAACGAAATGAAGGCAGAAATAAAGATGTTCTTTGAAACCAACGAGAACAAAGACACAGCATAGCAGAATCTCTGGGACACATTCAAAGCAGTGTGTAGAGGGGAATTTATAGCACTAAATGCCCACAAGAGAAAGCAGGAAAGATCTAAAATCGACACCCTAACATCACAATTAAAAGAACTAGAGAAGCAAGAGCAAACAAATTCAAAACCTAGCAGAAGGCAAGAAATAACTGAGATCAGAGCAGAACTGAAGGAGATAGAGACACAAAAAACCCTTCAAAAAAATCAATGAATCCAGGAGCTGGTTTTTTGAAAAGATCAACAAAATTGATAGACTGCTAGCAAGACTAATAAAGAAGAAAAGAGAGAAGAATCAAATAGATGCAATAAAAAATGGTAAAGGGGATATCACCACCGATCCCACAGAAATACAAACTACCATCAGAGAACATCATAAACACCTCTACACAAATAAAGTAGAAAATCTAGAAGAAATGGATAAATTCCTCGACACATACACCCTCCTAAGACTAAACCAGGAAGAAGTTGAATCTCTAAATAGATCAATAACAGGCTCTGAAATTGAGGCAATAATTAATAGCTTACCAACCAAAAAAAGTCCAGGACCAGATGGATTCACAGCCAAATTGTACCAGAGGTACAAGGATGAGCTGGTACCATTCCTTCTGAAACTATTCCAATCAACAGAAAAAGAGGGAATCCTCCCTAAAAATCCTCCCTCATAAAATCCTCATTTTATGAGGCCAGCATCATCCTGATACCAAAACCTGGCAGAGACACCACAAACAAATGAGAATTTTAGACCAATATCCCTGATGAACATCAATGCAAAAATCCTCAATAAAATACCGGCAAACCGAATCCATCAGCACATCAAAAAGCTTATCCACCATGATCAAGTGGGCTTCATCCCTGGGATGCAAGGCTGCTTCAACATATGCAAATCAATGAACGTAATCCAGTATATAAACAGAACCAAAGACAAAAACCATATGATTATCTCAATAGAAGCAGAAAAGGCCTTTGACAAAATTCAACAACACTTCGTTGCTAAAAACTCTCAATAAATTAGGTATTGATGGGACGTATCTCAAAATAATAAGAGCTATCTATGACAAACGCACAGCCAATATCATACTGAATGGACAAAAACTGGAAGCATTCCCTTTGAAAACTGGCACAAGACAGGGATGCCCTCTCTCACCACTCCTATTCAACATAGTGTTGGAAGTTCTGCCCAGGGCAATCAGGCAGGAGAAGGAAATAAAGGGTATTCAATTAGGAAAAGAGGAAGTCAAATTGTCCCTATTTGCAGATGACATGATTGTATATCTAGAAAACCCCATTGTGTCAGCCCAAAATCTCCTTAAGCTGATAGGCAACTTCAGCAAAGTCTCAGGATACGAAATCAATGTGCAAAAATCACAAGCATTCTTATACATGAATAACAGACAAACAGAGAGCCAAATCATGAGTGAACTCCCATTCACAATTGCTTCAAAGAGAATAAAATACCTAGGAATCCAGCTTAAAAGGGATGTGAAGGACCTCTTCAAGGAGAACTACAAACCACTGCTCAATGAAATAAAAGAGGATACAAACAAATGCAAGAACATTCCATGCTCATGGATAGGAATAATCAATATTGTGAAAATGGCCATACTGCCCAAGGTAATTTGTAGATTCAATGCCATCCCCATCAAGCTACCAATGACTTTCTTCACAGAATTGGAAAAAACTACTTTAAAGTTCATATGGAACCAAAAAAGAGCCCGCATTGCCAAGTCAATCCTAAGCCAAAAGAACAAAGCTGGAGGCATCACGCTACCTGACTTCAAACTATACTACAAGGCTACAGTAACCAAAACAGCATGGTACTGGTACCAAAACAGAGAGAGAGACCAATGGAACAGAACAGAGCCCTCAGAAATAATGCCACATATCTACAACCATCTGATCTTTGACAAACCTGACAAAATCAAGAAACGGGGAAATGATTCCCTATTTAATAAATGGGAGAACTGGCTAGCCATATGTAGAAAGCTGAAACTGGATCCCTTCCTTACACCTTATACAAAAATTAATTCAAGATGGATTAAAGACTTAAATGTTAGAACTACAACCATAAAATCCCTGGAAGAAAACCTAGGCAATACTATTCAGGACATAGGCATGGGCAAGGACTTCATGTCTAAAACACCAAAAGCAATGGCAACAAAAGCCAAAATTGACAAATGGGATCTAATTAAACTAAAGAGCTTCTGTACAGCAAAAGAAACTACCATCAGAGTGAACAGACAACCTACAAAATGGGAGAAAATTTTTGCAATCTACTCATCTGACAAAGGACTAACACCCAGAATCTACAATGAACTCCAACAAATTTACAAGAAAAAAACAAACAACCCCATCAAAAAGTGGGCAAAGGATACGAACAGACACTTCTCAAAAGAAGACATTTATGCAGCTAACAGACACATGAAAAAATGCTCATCATCACTGGCCATCAGAGAAATGCAAATCAAAACCACAATGACATACCGACTCACACCAGTTAGAATGGCAATCATTAAAAAGTCAGGAAACAACAGGTGCTGGAGAGGATGTGGAGAAATAGGAACACTTTTACACTGTTGGTGGGACTGGAAACTAGTTCAACCATTGTGGAAGTCACTGTGGTGATTCCTCAGGGATCTAGAACTAGAAATACCATTTGACCCAGCCATCCCATTACTGGGTATGTACCCAGAGTATTATAAATCATGCTACTATAAAGACACATGCACATGTATGTTTATTGCGGCACTACTCACAGTAGCAAAGACTTGGAACCAACCCAAATGTCCAACAATGATAGACTGGATTAAGAAAATGTGGCACATATACACCATGGAATACTATGCAGCCATAAAAAATGATGAGTTCATGTCCTTTGTAGGGACATGGATGAAGCTGGAAACCATTATTGTCAGCAAACTATCGCAAGGACAAAAAATCAAACACCTCATGTTCTCATTCACAGGTGGGAATTGAACAATGGGAACACATGGACACAGGAAGGGGAACATCACACACCGGGGCCTGTTGTGGGGTGAGGGGAGGGGGCAGGGATAGCATTAGGAGATATACCTAATATTAAGTGATGAGTTAATGGGTGCAGCACACCAACATGGCACATGTATACATATATAACTAACCTGCATGTTGTGCACATGTACCCTAAAACTTAAAGTATAAAAAAAAAATAGGCTTACTTTAATAAAGCTCCGAAAATGTTAATTTTTGCTTCTTTTCCCCCTGAATTGTCCAGGGATTTGTCACTTAAATTATCTCATATGGAGTACCTGGCCTTAGATTAAAATTACATCTACATCTGTTACTCTCATATTTTTTTTCAATGCTAGACCCCCTAAAAATTAGTACAGTTATTTTTTTAAGTAATTATATTTTACAGTTAGAAATACATTTATGCCTACATGTATCTCATTACAATTTATATAGAATGTGCAACCTGAAGACCTTTCTGACATAGGAACACTTACACATTTTAAAAAGGAAAGGTACCTGAGAAATATTTCTTATGCTTATATGTGACCAATAACTTGAGAAGCTGCTACAGAGTAGGAAAAATACTCAAAGATTTTTTATGAAAAATCTGAATATAGATCTCAATTGTCCTCTTTAGGTAACTGCATGTCCTTAGGTAACTCCATGTTCCTAGGTGAAGCACCTCTCTGACCCCCTCATTTCTTCATTTATAAAATGTAAAACATGATACTAAAGAGGCATCATGATATTTAGGTGCTTGAGGTTTGAAGCAGAGCAAACCTGGGTCTTTACATTGCCCCTCAAGTTCGGGTTGTGTAACATGGGCTAGGTTCCTTCCTAAAGCGCTTATGTCTTCTCTCTAAAATAGGGATAGTTATTAGCACCTATAATTAATTTCAAAGACTAAAGGAGTTCAGTATAATCATATTTCACTTGCAGAGCACCAAGTCTGAAATATAAATTCCCAAAAAAAGTTATTTTGGAACAATATATATGCGAGCATGCTTTATAAAGTATTAATGACCCGTAATGGTTAATAATTATTTTATCAATTGATTCTATTATAAACTATGAGTGATAATTCTTTAGAGAACTAAGACCATACTGGTGTGAGGAGACAAAAATTGAGGAAAATTTAAGTTTTATTTGCCACCTCTATCCCAATGAACTTATAAGATTGGCCTTAATCTATCAAGATAGACCAGTATAATGAAGAAGATGTGAGTGGATTATTCTATATCCTGAAAGATAACATCTGTACCTCTAGGAGATAAGAGTGCCATATGGTTATGTTTGCCAAGATGTAGTAAGGTACTTTATTTAGTAAGATTATTTTTCTTCTTACACTTAAATTCTTCATCTGAAGGTCCATTTGTCTGTATAGCCTCTCTGAATTCAGGTCAGAACTTGCTATAAGGAGAACAAATAGCCCATCCAAAGAAACCGGATCCTGCCCCAAGTATCATTCCTCCCCTGAAATACCACTGAATGCTATGCAAATATGCAAATGGATTTATAAAATCTGAACAGCATTTCTTAAAAAATGATATATCCGATTATCTGGCAACATTAGTACTTGTCATATATTGGTAGTTTAAGATTACCCACACTAAAAAAGGGTTTCGAAACAGTGGGAACATAAACTTTCTTTTTATTATTATTATTATTATTATACTCTAAGTTCTAGGGTACATGTGCACAATGTGCAGGTTTGTTACATATGTATACATGTGCCATGTTGGTGTGCTGCACCCATTAACTCATCATTTACATTAGGTATATCTCCTAATGCTATCCCTCCCCCCTCCCCCCACCCCACAACAGGCCCCTGTGTGTGACGTTCCCCTTCCTGTGTCCAAGTGTTCTCATTGTTCAATTTCCACCTATGAGTGAGAACATGCGGTGTTTGGTTTTTTGTCCTTGTGATAGTTTGCTGAGAATGATGGTTTCCAGCTTCATCCATGTCCTTACAAAAGACATGAATTCATCATTTTTTATGGCTGCATAGTATTACATGGTTTTCGGCTTCCCTCCTCTGACTATGCCTTCACCTTCATCATCCTAAGCACACAGCAAAGAGAAAAGATGAAACATGAAATGTTTATATTTTCATTGCTGGGAAATCCATGATCACTATGGAAATCTTAAATAGCATGCATATTACAAATGCTAATTTCTTTCTTTCTCTCTCTTCCTTTCTCCTTTCCCCCTTTCCTTCCTTCCTTCCTTTCATCCTGTCCTTCCCTCCCCCTTTCCTTTTTTTCTTTTCTTCCTTTTTTCTCCTCTCCCCTCCTTCTCCCTCTACCTTTTCTTCCTGCTTTCTTTTCTTTCTCCCCTCTTCCCATGCCCCTCTTCCTCTCCCTCCCCTTCTCGTTCCTTAGCTTCTCCTCCCTCTTTCTCTTCCCTTCTCTGTCTCCATCTCTCTTTTCTCTCTCTTCTTTCCTGCTTTCCTTCTTTTCTTATTTCTTAGTTCTTAGGTATTATGATCAGTTCTCATTGTACTTTCCTCACTGCTTCAAAGATACCACAGGAACTAGAACACTAAGGTAAAATTATTTCAATCATTCTTCAATAATTGCCTCAATTTTTCTGCAGTGAGATATCTGCCTCCTCATTTCATCAAACCACTGTGCTACACTCTGGATTTTTCTGCCAACATTGTGGATTGGAATGTGTCTGCAAGAAAACCGATGTGATCATGGGGCTCGCCCTGCTTATTTCGCTTTTCTCAGGGGTCATGATCTTACGGTGCTTCTTCCCACTGTCTAAAATAAGTCATTTTATATTATTTGTTCAGTGTTTACTGTAGGAGGATAAGTCCAATCCCTGTTAATTCACCATGACCAGATGCAGAAGGAATCAGTAATCATTTATAATTTGTCTTATTTCTCCCAGTTCTGAGCCCATTAATTACCATTGCAACCATAATTAATATAAAATAATACTGTATTCTCTAACTACTATGTTTTTTCCTTACTTAAACTTTAAATGACTTTCCATATCTATTAGCATTGCTTCTCAATATTTAGGGAAAAGATTGGTGATGTTCTAAAATTACTTGGACTATAAATATATGATTATTGTCAAGGCTAAAGGTAACTATTTACACATAATCTTTGTAAATCTACTACATATGATCTTTTCAACAAAAACAAATTATTTTATTCCATTATGAGTACATTTGTCTTGTTGGTAGAATAACCATTAGGAGGTAAGTTTGAGATACCCTGCCTTAGAATTTGCCCTGGTTGACTCTAGCAATTCGTGAATAATTTTCCTCTTTCTTTCTCTGCCAGTGACAATCAAGGTATCCACGCAGAGAGGGGCTAATGAGGTGGATATTCATAACTGGACCCAGAAATGATGCAAAGAATAATAACAACAATGAAAACAAGTCTTATGTTTAATTGTTTTATAAACTCCATTCTGAGAGAAAATCTGAAAGTCCATTTGACAGTTGAATCTACTCCACAAACAATATCATATGATACAGTAGCAATATGAGTAGAAGAGAGGAACAGCATGATTTAATGCATGAAGAGAACAAATGGGCATTAACTATATCATTCCAGCAGAAACACTCCTAAAGTCTTAACCAAAGAAGGGTGTGCAGAGGAAATGGCAGGCCAATTACACTGATTATAGCAGCTGCAAATATGTGTGGCTACCTTCATGCTTCAATGATGCTGTAATTATGTTTCTAAGAAATGCTCTATGCAGGCAACCTCATTCCTACCTCAGTCCTGCTGTTTATTTCCTGGCATTTTAACATGCACTGTTATGAGTGTAGTAATACATGTTACACTACATAATGGGGTACCCCTGCCAATCTGCCATGAAAGTCACAGACTTTTTAAAAGATTATTTTACCCATTTTCTTTCTATTTTAGGAAAAGTTCTACCAGTCTTTATCAAATCAATTTGTGCTAACATGGCACTTTAACAAATTTAACATCTTACGTATAAATCCACTGCCTGACCTTAAGACTTAGGGTGAAATTGTGAAATAATGATTAGGGATGATTTGCCTATAATTATGCCATAAGATTATATGTCTTTTACTATCTCTGTATGAGCATTTCATTTGAGAATTAAAGGCATTATCTGCATATTTCAATACTAGGAAGATGTTATACTTTTAAACGTTTTATCTTATTTTTAGTGTTTATATCCATTAAAGATATCCATTTTACACATGTGGAATATGTGTAAATGTGAAATGACTAGTTGAATAATTTTTGATGAATAAGATTCCATAAAGAGATGACATCCAGAATAGTTTCAAAATGACAATATGTGTTCCTCTTATCTCTCAAAACAAACTCCTCCCATTTCCAACTCATTAGCAACCGCACCTTTGGGACATGAACTTTCTTCCTTCTCTTATTTTTAATTGCACTTTGGAAAAATAACTCTTATATTCAGAAGATGGCCTGAAGGTTACAGCTAAGGCTAGAGACAAGGGTCCTAAAGACGGGACAATATGACTCAATAGGAAGACACTACTGGGATAGAGTAAGCAAGATAAGATGAGAGTTTGGTTGGGAATTTGGTGATGAGTCTGAAGAAAAATGACCAGAACTTGTTAACTAATGGATGTAGGGCTGAAGGGAGACAGATAAATCTAAAATGATTTTCACATTCTTTTTTAGTCACATGAGGGAATGGTGATGATATTATTGAGATGACTTTATAAGAAGATAATGAGTGCAATTTTGAACATGAATTTTAAGTGCCAATGGGATGATTTCTCTGCAAAGATGAATTTTGTTTTACTTCCAAGAAAAATGGGGAAGGTCAAAGGAAAGAATTAGGGACCTTGCTGAAGGCTGGAAAATACATCTACAACTTCAGTCATCCTTGAAATAGTCAGAGAACAGATTAGGTATGCTAAAACAAACTGCTTCTCTTTACTATATAATTATTTATCTGAATCTTTAATGGAACCTTTGGTTAACCTAAAAATATAATATTTTGGTGTTTTAATTAACACTAACATTATTACTTAGCCAAACATTTAAATGATTTTGTAAATCATTAGATTCAGAATATTGAACTCTTTCTGACAATTAAAGTCATAATTCATTTCTACTCATTTAGGCACCTGGAGTGAGTTGCAAAAAGGTAATTATATTCATTGTTAATTTACATGCTAGACATATCCTGGTAAGCATTCTGTAGGAAAGTGTTACAGGAAGACACAGGTGCTTAAATTAACAAACATTAGGAAATCAGCAAGAGACCTAAACTACATTAGTTATTGTTTCCAAACTAATTATTTAATAATTGAACATCTCTATACACCTGGTCCCAAATCAAGGGATTCCATGACCTCATGAGGCTTCGGGTTCATACTTGATCATTTAATATCAAATTTGCATAGTGCAGGGCAGTGAACTGGGTAGTTGTTGGAGGGCAATTTAAATTTCCCTGAAGTTCTCCAGAAAGTTCACAAATCAAAACATTCACACTTGTAAAACAGGGGTGTAATTAATTGTTAAGAAGCCTTGTTAGTACTACAAACCTGAGAACAAACAAGAGGTGCTGCACACAGCTAAGTTCCCTGGCAGAATTTTTGAAGGAGGCATTAACTCAGTGATTACTCATGGGCATGACATAGCAATTGTCATATTCTCACCTTTGGGACAATACTGTCTCCTTGTTTTAAGGTCTGTCCAATGACTGTACTCTCCAGAACTCCCAGAGGTCTTTAATTTCTACCTTAGGCATTGACATTCTGAAAACAGCATGTTAGCATGAGGAATTTCAGTAGACTCCTTTGCAGCTAAAGCTGTCTCAAAGAATCTATGTACACTTTCCCTTGTGTAAAATTATTAAAAATATAAAAGAAACGTTTAATGTTTCTGTTTTACATACACCTAGCACATAGTACATTAGGCATTCACAAAATATTTGTTGAAAAATTATGCAGATGAACAAATAAATGACCAAAGGAATAACTGACTGAATGAGTGAATTGATAAATTAGTAAATGGGGTAATTTCCTGACTTCTCGATAGTAGTAACAGCAAGAGTAATGACTACCTAACTCTTTACCCATTCGTAACAACTCTGCAACTGTTTTCCCCTTACAGGTTAACTTGTTTATATCCAATAAGCTCCCTTTCACTGGAGTACACAGAGAAAATCACACATGCCCCAGATTATGAAATCCAGTGTCAGCAATTGGTTAAACTCTTAAACGTTTTTTGAGTACTCTTTGAAGTGTTGACCAGTAACACCTTAGATATGTCAGATACAGGAAAAATTAAGCAACCTAAGAATATCAGAAATCATGTTCAATTCAAGGTTTATAAATTATTTAATTAAAAATATTCAATTAATTTTTGAATTGGGTAAGAAAAAAACTATCACTTAGGGAGCTCTAACTAATGTGTGCTAATATTCTATGAATATCATCTTGATCTTTTCCCACTCTGTGGGAAAATTACATAGGGTCCTCTTTTACTGAACAGATAAAGCAACTGAGACTTAGACAATTTAATCTTTTCAAAATCCAGCTCATCAGTGACAGAGCTGGTTCTAATACCCTTGTCATTTTGATTCCAAATGCCATGTTCTTTCTGTATCATGGTACTTCCTGAATTCTCTAGAGTATGGGATGCTGGAACTTAACTCTAGCCTAAAAGATCAAGCCTATTTTTTCCTAAGATCAACAAATTATTAAATAAATAGTTTATACCTAAATTGTACCATAGATAGGGATATTTAACTGTGCTCCATAAGGAAGACAAAATAGAGAGGGAGAGAGGAAGGATTTCTATAAGATTGTACAGAGACTTTTAAAAAATTACTTATTCTTTCCTAATTGAATTATATAGCCCTTATTTAAAAAATTACAGATTTTAGGTATGCAGTTAAATGAGTTTTTTATCCATCATCGTAATTAAAATATATAACATTTTCATCATACTAGTCAGTTGTTTCAGGACCATTTTTAAGTCAATCCTTTCCTTTAGAAGCAACCACCATTTCACTACCATAGTTTAGTTTGCATATTTTTAAACCTCATATGAATGAAATCATACCATGTGTATTCTGTGTTTTTCCGGTTTCTTTTAAAAATATTTTCAGATTGATTTATGCAGTTATGTGTATCAATAGTGACTCCATCTAATTGCTGAGCAGGATTCCATTGTGTGAATACCACAATGTGCTTATGCCTTCATCTGTTGACAAATATTTGGGTTGCCTTGGTTTTCAATTATTATAAATAAAACTGCTATGAACATTCTTGCACAGTATTTTATAGACACGTTTTCATTTACTAAAGTAAATATCTAGAAATGAAACTCCTAGATCGTGGGTGAAGTGTCTGTTTAAATATGTGAGAAACTTCCAAATATTTTTACTTTGTGGGTTTGCCATTTTACACTCCCACCAGCATCATCACAACAATTAGTATTTCTGGAGTGTTCATTGTTATTATTGTGTTCAATATTATTTGTTGTAAGTCATAAAGTGTTATACCAGGTGGTGAGATGACTAATAACGCTAAGCGACTTTTCATAAGCTCACTGGCCATGTTTTTTCTTTATGAAGTATCAATTCAAGTCTATTTAAACATTTTTTAATCTGACATTGTTTGTTTTTTCATTTAGTTCTCCATATGGTGTCTTATCCTGCATATAAACCCCTTTGGTTTTATGTATTGCAAATCTTTTCTCCTACTCCATGCTTAACTTTTCATTTTCTTAGTGGTGCCTTTTGAAGAGCAGATCTTTGATTAAAATTCACACAATATAAAATTCACCATTTTAAAACATACAGTTCAGTGGCTTTTAGTACATTCAGAGCGGTGTTCACCGATCACTACTGTCTAGTTCCAGAACATTTTAATCACCCTCCCAAAAAAAGTTTATACCTATTAAGCGTTTCTCCCTTGCCCCAGCCGTGCGCAACCACTAATTTGCTGCCTGTCTCTGTGGATTTGCCTATTCTGGACATTTCTTGTAAATTTTGATGAAGTCTACTTTATCGTTTTTTTTATCACTGGGCTAGTGCAATTTGTCTTGTTTGTAAAATTTTTACTTACCCCAAGATGGTAAAGTTTTTATTATAGAAATTTTACAGTTTATAGTTAGGTCTATGATTTATATTTAATTATTTTTTGGATGGTGTCAGGGGAAGATTGCTGTTTTTCCCAATGAATATCTACCTGTTTCAGCTCCATTTGTTGAAAGACTATCCTTTCCCAGTGGAATGACCCTGTCATCACTTTATAAAATAGACCCAAACATGTATTTGAGTCTTTGCAGAGGCTGCAGTGAGCTGAGATAGCGCCACTGCACCCCTGCCTGGGTGACAGAGCAAGACTCCATCTCAAAACAAAATATATATCAAAATTAGATTTGTAACTCTTCCACCATTGTTTTGCAAATTTTTTAAATTTAACATGAGATGCTTTGAATTATTCTAAAATAAGAATCAAGTTTTAATTTATAAGCAAAATTTTGTGGGGACTTGGATCATGATTACATTTAATGTATGTATTAGGGAGGATTGACAGCAAAAGATACTACTAAATGGCATCTTGAAATTCAGGTACATGGTATGTCCTTCCATTTATGTACATTTTAAAAAATTGTCTTGGGCCGGGCGCGGTGGCTGATACCTGTAATCCCAGCACTTTGGGAGGCCGAGGAGGGCAGATCACCTGAGGCCAGGAGGTTTTGTTGTTGTTGTTGTTTGTTTGTTTGTTTTTTGAGACGGAGTTTCGCTCTGTCACCCAGGCTGGAGTGCAGTGGCACAATCTCAACTCACTGCAACCTCTGCTTCCCGGGTTCAAACAGTTCTCCTGCCTTAGCCTCCTGAGTAGCTCGGATTACAGGTGTATGCCACCAAGCCCAGCTAATTTTTGTATTTTTAGTAGAGACAGGGTTTCACCATGTTGGTCAAGCTGGTCTTGGACTCCTGACCTTGTGATTCGCCCACCTTGGCCTTTCAAAGTGCTGGAATTAAAGGCGTGAGCCACAGCACCCGGCCGAGGCCAGGAGTTTGAGAGAATCGCTTGGACCCGGGAGGCAGAGGCTGAAGTGAGAAGAGATCCCGCCACTGCACTCCAGCCTGGGTGACAGGGAGATGCAGTCTCAAAAATAAATAAATAAACAAATGTCTTGGCAATATTTCGTGAGTTTTATAGTATATATTATTCACAACTTGTTGTGAAAGGATTTCTAAGAATTTCTGTATATGTCATTGGAAATAACATTGTTTATTTAATTTTATTTTCCAATATCTCTTGCTAGCATATAGAAATAAAATTTTGTGTGTACATTGATGTTGAATCCTGGGAACTCAATTATTTACTTTTACTTTTGAAGGAATAAGTAAATTTGATTTTATAGAGCATTTTCACTTTCAATCTCATAAAGAACTAGTTCTCTGTCTTGGTTGAAAATTCATCCAACTCCCATAACATTTTGGGGAAAAAAAAAGTTCTGTGATTATATTTGTGTAAACACAGTCACAACTTAGAAATTAAAATGCATAATTCCATATAATTAAGCTAAGAATTTAATCTGAACTGGATTTAAAGTTAAATCTTGCCTTCTCCACATTCTTACTCTTTCACACCAAAAAGTCTACAGTGCGGAAAATGGCATGATCAATTTCCTCTTCTTCCCCTTTCCTTCATATCAACTACCTAGAGTTCCTCCAAGTTTGGAGCTGGGAGAGAGAGGAAAGGTAAGAAAAGACCTTACTTGATTGGTACTGTTGTGGGCTGTGTGCTTATTGGATATTGCAGAGGTTGAAAGATGACATAGCACTTTCATGGGTCCTTAAGCAACCTTCCATCATTCTGGAGTTATTTGATATGTGCAAATGCATCTATACACTAATTCATATTCCTTCCTCAGTTCTTAGGAATCTAGTAATATTTTCAGCTTCTGCTAAAGTTCTGTCTACTCTTCCAGGTTGTCCTCAGAGATAAGATGCAAGATGGGTCTACTGCCATCTCTCTTACATGTGGCCCCTCTTTGGTCCATACTCAAGTTATGCACAATTTGCCTTAGGAATTCGACCACTTCTCCTCTTATACACATCAGTAATTAAGCATCTCATCTCTTACCCTCTGGATTTATTTTTGAATTGAAAAATAAAAATGGTATACATTTATGGAGTACAATGTGAACTTTTGACATATGAATACATTGTGAAATGATTAAGTCAAGCTAATTAACACATCCATCACTTCACATACTTTTTTCAGGTAAGATTACAAATCAACTCTCTCAACACATTTTAGGTATATAATATATTGTTATTAGCTATAAGTACCATACTGTAAAATAGATCTCCAGAACTTAGTCCTCTTGTCTGGCTGAAACTCTGTACCCTTTGACCAACACTTTCTGATCCTCCCTCTCCTGGGATCTAGTAACCACAATTGTATCCTCAGGTCCTAAGAGCTTGACATTTTTAGATTCCTTATACACGTGAGATCATGAAGTATTTCTCTTTCTGTGCCTGGCTAATTTCACTTGGCTTAATGCCCTCCAGGTTCATCCATGCTTTCACAAATGACATGATTTTCTTCTTTTTTATGGATGAATGGTATTAATATTTCATTGTGTATATATACCATATTTTAAAAATTCCTTCATCTGTTGATGGACACAGGTTGATTCCATATCTTGGCTATTGTGGACAGTGCTGCAGTGAACATGGGGGTGTAGATATCTCTGACATACTAATTTCCTTTAAATACATATACCAAGTAGTCAGATTACTGGATCATATGGTAGTTCAATTTCTAATTTTTTAGCAAGCTTTATGCTCTTTCCTATAATGGGTATACTAATTTACATCTCTCCACCCTTGCCTTTTGATAATAGTCATTCTAACAGGAGTGAGGTGATATATTATTGTGGATTTGATTGCATGTCCCTGTTGATTAGTGATGTTGAACACCTTTTCATATACCTGCTAGCTGTTTGTATGTCTTGTTTTTTGAAAACATGTCTATTCAGTTCCTCTGCTCATTTTGTAGTTTTATAATTGGGTTGTTTTCTTGCTATTCAATTGTTTGAGTTCCTTATTTATTTTAGATATTCACTCATTATCAGATGTATGAATTACAAATATTTTCTTCCATTCTGTAGATTTAGGTTGTCCCTTCACACTGTTGGGTTATTTTCCTTTAGAGGGCAGAAGCTATTTAGTTTAATGCAACCTCATTTATCTATTATTGCTGTTATTGACTGTGCTTTTCGGACCATATCCAAAAAATCGTTGCAAAGACTAATGCCAAGGAGCTGTTTTTCTGTGTTTTCTTTCAGTAGTTTTACAATTTTATGTTTAATTCTATAATCCATTTTGAGGTGACTTTTTTAATACGGTGGAAGGTAAAGGCCCAATTTGATTCTTCTGCATGTGAATATACAGTTTTCCTCACAACCTTTATTGAAGAGACTGCCCTTTCCCCATTGTCTGTTCTAGTTGTATGTGATTAGTTGACTGTAAATGTGTGGAATTATTTCTGGGTTATCTACTCTGTTCTATTGGCCCACATGTCTGTTACTATACCATTCAAGTAAGATTGCTATTTGATTACTGTAGCTTTATAGTACATTCTGAGATTAGGCAAGGTGATGTCCCAGCTTTTCTTTTGTTTTGCTTTTTACTCAAGATTGTCTTGGCTACTCACTGTCTTTTGTAATTTCATACTTTTTATTCTGTGATTTTTCTCTATTTCTGTGTTTTTTTTATTTCTATGAAAAATGTCTTTAGAATTTTGAGTGGAATTTTATTCAATCAGGGAATCACTTTAGGTAGTGTAGAACTCTTAAGTATCAATTCTTCCAATCAATGAACACAGGATATATGGCCATTTATTTGTCTTCTCCAATTTATTTCATCAGTGTTTTATAGATTTCTGAGTACAGCTTTTCTTCTTCTTGTTTAAATTTATTCATAAGTCTTTGATTTTCTTATGCTATTTTAAATGGAATTGTTTTCTTGATTTCTTTTTCAGATGGTTTGTTGTTAGTATATAGAAACAGTATTGATTTTTGTATGTTTTGTCTTTTGCCACTTTACTAAATTTGTTTATTGTCATTAATAGCTTTTTGATACAGTTCTTAGAGTTTTCTATATATACAATCATGTCATCTCCAGAGACAATTTAACTTCTTTATTCCCAATTTGGATGTCTTTTTAAATTTTCTTTGGCTTAACTGCTCTGGATAAGACTTCCAGTACTATGTTAGATAGATGTGGCAAGAATGGGCATCCTAGTCTTGTCTGATCTTAGAGAAAATGCTTACACCTTTTTACCATTGAGTATGAAGTTAACTGTGAGTTTATCATATGTGGCCTTTATTATGTTGAGGTATATTTGTTTTTTACTTAATTTGTGGACAGCTTTTATCATGAAGACATGTTGAATTTTATCAAATGCTTTTCCTGCATCTGTTGAAAGAATCATATTATTTTAAACTTCATTCTATTAATGTGAGGTATTACATTTAGTGATTATGGTATATTGAACCATCCTTGCATCCCATGGATAAATCCCACTTATTCATGATGATTCATTTCATATGCTGTTGAATTAGGTTTCCAGTATTTTCATGAGGATTTTTGCACCGAGGTTTACCAGGGATATTGGCCTGTAATTTTATTTTTCTGGTAGTGTTCTTTCTAGTCCCGGTATCAGGCTAATACTGGCATTGTAACATGAGTTTATAAGTATTCCCTTATTTCAATTTTTCAAAAGGGTTTGAGAGGGATTGGTATTAGTTCATGTTTAAATGTTTGGTAGAATTTAACCATGGAACCATCAGGTTTTTCTTTGATGATAGATTATTTTTCACTGATTCAGTATTCCTTTCATTATGGATTTGCTCAGATTTTTTTTGTTTCATCACAGTATAAGTCATTGTTGGTTGTATGTGTCCAGGAATTTATCTTTTTTTTCTAGGTTACTCAATTTGTTAGCATATAATTGTTGGTAGTAGTCTCTTTCAATCTTTTGTATTTGTGTGGTATCAGTTGCAACATCTCTTGCATTCATGATTTTATTTAGTTGACTCTTCTCTTTTTTTAGACTAAATATTTGTCCGTTTTATTTATTTTTTAAAGAAAACATATTTTGGTTGTGTTGATCTTTTTTTCTAGTATCTATTTGATTGAATTCTGCTGTGATTTTTATTATTTACTTTCTTTTACTAACTTTGAACTTAGTCTGATTTTGTTTTTCTAGTTGAATAATATTTGATTGTTAGAGATAATTCTTTTATTTTAATGTAGGCATTTATTGCTATAAACGTCCCCCTTAGAACTGTTTTTGCTGCATCCCATAAATTTTGGTGTTTTGTATTTCCGTTTTCTTTTATCTCAACATGTTTTCAAATTTCCATTTAGATTTCTTATTTGACCCACTTTTTTGTTTAGAAGTATGTTGTTTATACATTTTCAAAATTTTTCCTGTTAATGATTTCTAGTTGCATATCATTATGATTGGAAAGGATATTGGATATGATTTTAAACTTCTAAAATTTATTAATCCTCATTTTGTGTTCTAACATGATCTATCCTGGAGAATATTTCATTTGTGCTTGAGAAAAAAGTGTATTCTGCTGCTACTGGATGAAATAGTCTGTATGTGTCTATTAAGTCCACTTGATCTAAAGTGTAGTTGCAATCCAGTGTTTCCTTATTAATTTTCTGTCTGGATAATCTCTCCATAGTTGAAAGTAGGATATTAAGTTTCCTACTATTATTTTTACTGCCATCTATCTATCCCTTCTGATCTACTAATATTTGGTTTATATATATGAGCAATTCAATATTGTGTACATATGTTTACAATTATTATATTATTTTAATGAATTGACTCCTTTATTATGATATAATGACATTCTTTTTTTCTTTTTACAGTTTTTACATTTTTTTCTTTTTTGAGACGGGTCTCACTGTGTCACCCAGGCTGGAGTGCAATGGCACAGTCACAGCTCACTACAGCCTTGATCCCCCAGGCTCAAGCAATTCTCTCACCTCAGCCTCCCAAGTAGCCAGGACAACAGGTGCATGCCACCACATCCAACTATTTTTCTGTATTTTTCGATAGAGATGGGGTTTCACCATGTTGCCAAGCTGGTCTTGAACTCCTGAGCTCAAGAGATCTGCCCACCTCAACCACTCAAAGTGCTGAGATTAGAGGTGTGAGCTACTGTCCCCTGCCAGTTTTTAACTTAAAGTCTGTTTTGTCTGATATAAGTACAGCTACCTCTGCTCTCTTTTGGTTCATTTGTATAAAATATATTCTTCTATCCCTTCACTTATAGTCTATGTGTGTACTTAAAGCTGAGTGTCCCTTGTAGGCAGCTTACAGTTGAGTCTTGTATTTTTATTTATTCATTCACTCTATATGTCTTTTCATTGGAGAATTTAATTCATTTACATTCAAGATAATTATTGATAGGTAAGGATTTACTGCTGCCCTTTGTTCATTGTTTTCTGGTTAATATGAAGATCTTTTTTTTTTCTTTCTTCCTCTCTTGCTGTCTTCCTTTGTAAGTAGATGATTTTCTTCAGTGGCATATTTTGATTTCTTTTTCTTTATCTTTTATATATCTACTACACATTTTGCTTTGTGATTACCATGAGGCTTACGTAAAATTTACTATAGTTGTTACAGGCTGTCTTAAGGTATTAACAACTTAACATTAACTGCATACAAAAGCTCTACATTTTTATTGCCCAATCATATTTTACATTTTTGATGCCACAATTTGCACCTTTTAATATTGTACATCCCTAAACAAATTATTATAGCTATAGATATTTTTTAATAATTTTGACGGTCAACTTTTATAACAAATTTATAAGTGATTTATATACCACCATTAGAGTATTAGAATATTTTGAATTTTAATATGTACTTACTTTTACTACAGTTTTATACTTTTTTTTCTTTTCCTTTTCCTTTTTCTTTTTTTTTTTTTTTTTTTTTTTGAGATGGAGTTTTGCTCTTGTGCCCAGGCAGGAGGGCAATAGCGTGATCTCAGCTCACCACAACCTCTGCCTCCTGGGTGCAAGTGATTCTCCTGCCTCAGCTTCCCAAGAAGCTGAGATTACAGGCATGAGCCACCATGCCCAGCTAATTTTTTATTGTTTTTAGTAGAGACGGAGTTTCTCTATGTTGGTCAGGCTGGTCTTGAACTCCTGGCCTCAGGTGATCTGCCTGCCTTGGCCTCCCAAAATGCTGGGATTACAGATGTGAGCCACCATGCCCAGCCATGAGTTTTATACTTTCATGTACTTTTATGTTGCAAATTATCGTCCTTTACTTTAAACTGGAAGAACTCCTTTTAGCATTTCATTTTTTTTTTTTTTGAGGTTTTGAATCCATTTTTTGGTATGCGAAAGTATTTTTTTTTTTGTAGATACTTTAAGTTCCAGGGTACATGTGCACAACATGCAGGTTTGTTACATAGGTATACATGTGCCATGTTGGTTTTCTGCACCAATTAACTCATAATTTACATTAGGTATTTCTCCTAATGCTATCCCTCCTCCTGGCCCCCACCCCATGACAGGCCCCAGTGTGTGATGTTCCCCGCCCTGTGTCCAAGTATTCTCATTGTTCAAATCCCACCTATGAGTGAGAATATTCAGTGTTTGGTTTTCTGTCCTTGTGGCAGTTTGCTCAGAATGATGGTTTCCAGCTTCTCCATGTTACTGCAAAGGACATGAACTCATCCTTTTTTATGGCTGCATAGTATTCTATGTTGTATATGTGCCACATTTTCTTAATCCAGTCTATCATTGATGGACATTTGGGTTGGTTCCACGTCTTTTCTATTGTGAATAGTGCCACAATAAACATACATGTGCATGTGTCTTTATAGTAGCATGATTTATAATCCTTTGGGTATATACCCAGTAATGGGATCACTGGGTCATATGATATTTCTAGTTCTAGATCCTTGAGGAATAGCCACACTGTCTTCCACAATGGTTGAACTAGTTTACAGTCCCACCAACAGTGTAAAGGCGTTCCTATTTCTCCACATCCTCTCCAGCATCTGTTGTTTCCTGACTTTTTAATGATCGTCATTCTAACTGGTATGAGATGGTATTTCACTGTGGTTTGATTTGCATTTCTCTGATGACCAGTGATGATGAGCATTTTTTCATGTGTCTGTTAGCTGCATAAATGTCTTCTTTTGAGAAGTGTCTGTTCATATCCTTTGCCCACTTTTTGATGGGGTTGTTTTTTTCTTGTAAATTTGTTTAAGTTCTTTGTAGATCTTGGATATTAGCCCTTTGCCAGATGGGTAGATTGCAAAAATTTTCTCCCATTTTGTAGGTTGCCTGTTCACTCTGATGGTAGTTTCTTTTGCTGTGCAGAAGCTCTTTAATTAGATCCCATTTGTCAATTTTGGCTTTTGTTGCCATTGCTTTTGATGTTTTAGACAAGAAGTCCTTGCCCATGCCTATGTCTGAATGGTATTGCCTAGGTTTTCTTCTGGGGGTTTTATGGTTTTAGGCCTAACATTTAAGTCTTTAATCCATCTTGAATTAATTTTTGTATAAGATGTAAGGAAGAGATCTAGTTTCGGCTTTCTACATATGGCTAGCTAGTTTTCACAGCACCATTTATTAAATAGGGAATCCTTTCCCTATTTCTTGTTTTTGTCAGGTTTGTCAAAGATCAGATGGTTTTAGATGTGTGGTGTTATTTCTGAGGCCTCTGTTCTGTTCCATTGGTCTGTATCTCTGTTGTAGATATGCAGTGTTATTTCTGAGGGCTCTGTTCTGTTCCATTGATCTATATCTCTGTTTTGGTACTAGTACCATGCTGTTTTGGTTACTGTAGCCTTGTAGTATAGTTTGAAGTCAGGTAGCATGATGCCGCCAGCTTCGTTCTTTTTGCTTAGGATTGTCTTGGCAATGTGGGCTCTTTTTTGCTTCCATATGAAGTTTAAAGTAGTTTTTTCCAACTCTGTGAAGAAAGTCATTGGTAGCTTGATGGGGATGGCATTGAATCTATAAATTACCTTGGGCAGTATGGCCATTTTCACAATATTGATTCTTCCTATCCATGAGCATGGAGTGTTCTTCCATTTGATTGTGTCCTCTTTTATTTCCTTGAGCAGTGGTTTGTAGTTCTCCTAGAAGAGGTTCTTCAAATCCCTTGTAAGTTGGATTCCTAGGTATTTTATTCTCTTTGTAGCAATTGTGAATGGGAGTTCACTCATGATTCGGCTCTCTGTTTGTCTGTTATTGGTGTATAGGAATGCTTGTGATTTTTACACATTGATTTTTTATCCTGACACTTTGCCGAGATTGCTTATCAGCTTAAGGAGATTTTGAGCTGAGACAATGGGGTTTTCTAAATATACAATCATGTCATCTGCAAACAGGGACAATTTGACTTCCTCTTCTCCTAACTGAGTACCCTTTATTTCTTTCTCTTGCCTGATTGCCCTGGCCAGAATGTCCAGCACTATGTTGAATAGGAGTGGTGAGAGAGGGCATCCCTGTCTTGTGTCAGTTTTCAAGGGGAATGCTTCCAATTTTTGCCCATTCAGTATGATATAGACTGTAGGTTTGTCATAAATAGCTCTTATTAATTTCAGATATGTTCCCTCAATATCTAGTTTATTGAGAGTTTTTAGCATGAAGGGCTGTTGAATTCTGTCGAAGTCCTTTTCTGCATCTATTGAGTTAATCATGTGGTTTTTGTCGTTGGTTCTGTTTATATGATGGATTATGTCTATTGATTTGCATATGTTGAACCAGCCTTGCATCCCAGGGATGAGTCCGACTTAATCATGGTGGATAAGCTTTTTGATGTGCTGCTGGATTTGGTGTGCCAGTATTTTATTGAGGAATTTCGCATCGATGTTCATCAGGGATATTGGTCTAAAATTCTCTTTTTTTGTTGTGTCTCTGTCAGGCTTTGGTATCACGATGATGCTGGCCTCATAAAATGAGTTAGGGAGGATTCCCTCTTTTTCTGTTGATTGGAATAGTTTCAGAAGGAATGGTACCAGCTCCTTTTGATACCTCTGGTAGAATTAGGCTGTGAATCCGTCGGGTCCTGGACTTTTTTTGGTTGGTAGACTATTAATTATTGCCTCAATTTCAGAGCCTGTTATTGGTCTATTCAGAGATTCAACTTTTCCTCATTTAGTCTTGGGAAGGTGTACGTGTCCAGGAATTTATCCATTTCTTCTAGATTTTCTAGTTTATTTGCATAGAGGTGTTTATAGTATTCTCTGATGGTAGTTTGTAGTCCTGTGAGATTGGTGGCGATATCTGCTTTATCATTTTTTATTGCGTCTATTTGTTTCTTCTCTCTTTTCTTCATTAGTCTTGCAAGCAGTCTATTAATTTTGTTGATCTTTTCAAAAAACCAGCTCCTGGATCCATTGATTTTTTGAAGGGTTTTTTGTGTCTCTATCTCCTTCAGTTCTGCTCTGATCTTATTTATTTCTTGCCTTCTGCTAGCTTTTGAATTTGTTTGCTCTTGCTTCTCTAGTTCTTTTAATTGTGATGTTAGGGTGTCGATTTTAGATCTTTCCTGCTTTCTCTTGTGGGCATTTAGTGCTATAAATTCCCCTCTACACACTGCTTTAAATGTGTCCCAGAGATTCTGGTATGCTGTGTCTTTGTCCTCATTAGTTTCAAAGAATATTTTTATTTCTGCCTTCATTTCATTATTTACCCAGCAGTCACTCAGGAGCAGGTTGTTCAGTTTCCATGTAGTTGTGCGGTTTTGAGTGAGTTTCTTATTCCTGAGTTCTAATTTGATTGCACTGTGGTCTGAGAGACAGTTTGTTGTGATTTGTATTCTTTTACATTTGCTGAGGAGTGCTTTACTTCCAACTATGTGGTCAATTTTGGAATAAGTGCAGTGTGGTGCTGAGAAGAATGTATATTCTGTTGATTTAGGGTGGAGGATGTCTATTAGATCTGCTTGGTGCAGACCTGAGTTCAATTCCTGGATATCATTGTTAACCTTCTGTCTCATTGATCTGTCTAATATTGACAGTGGGGTGTTAAAGTCTCCCATTATTATTGTGTGGGGGTCTAAGTCTCTTTGTAGATCTCTAAGGACTTGCTTTATGAATCTGGGTGCTCCTGTATTGGGTGCATATATATATTAGGATAGTTAGCTCTTCTTGTTGAATTGATCCCTTTACCATTATGTGATGACCTTCTTTGTCTCTTTTGATCTTTGTGGGTTTAATGTCTGTTTTATCAGAGACTAGGATTGCAACTCCTGCTTTTTTTTTTTTCTTTTGTTTTCCATTTACTTGGTAGATCTTCCTCCAACCCTTTATTTTGAGCCTTTGTGTGTCTCTGCAAGTGAGATGGGCCTCCTGAATACAGCAAAGGATGGTTCTTGACTCTTTATCCAATTTGCCAGTCTGTTTCTTTTAACTGGGGCATTTAGCCCATTTACATTTAAGTTTAATATTGTTATGTGTGAATTTGATCCTGTCATTATGATGTTAGCTGGTTATTTTGCCCATTAGTTGATGTTGTTTCTTCCTAGCATCAATGGTCTTTACAATTTGGCATGTTTTTGCAGTAGCTGGTACCAGTTGTTCCTTTCCATGTTTAGTGCTTCCTTCAGGAGCTCTTGTAAGGCAGGCCTGGTGGTGACAAGATATCTCAGCATTTGTTTGTCTGTAACAGATTTTATTTCTCCTTCACTTATGAAGCTTAGTTTGGCTGGATATGAAATTCAGGGTTGAAAATGCTTTTCTTTAAGAATGTTGAATATTGGCCCCCACTCTCTTCGGGCTTCTAGTTTCTGGCGAGAGATCCGCTGTTAGTCTGATGGGCTTCCCTTTGTGGGTACTCCGACCTTTCTCTCTGGCTGCCCTTAACATTTTTTCCTTCATTTCAATCTTGGTGAATCTGACAATTATGTGTCTTGGAGTTGCTCTTCTCGAGGAGTATCTTTGTGGTGTTCTCTGTATTTCCTGAATTTGAACATTGGCCTGCCTTGCTAGATTGGGGAAGTTCTCCTGGATAATATCCTGAAGAGTGTTTTCCGACTTGGTTCCATTCTCCCCATCACTTTCAGGTACAACAATCAAACGTAGATTTGGTCTTTTCACATAGTCCCATATTTCTTGGAGGCTTTGTTTGTTTCTTTTTACTCTTTTTTCTCTAATCTTCTCTTCTTGCTCCATTTCATTAATTTGATCTTCAATCACTGATACCCTTTCTTTCACTTGATCAAAATGGCTATTGAAGCTTGCGCATGTGTCACATAGTTCTCGTGCCATGGTTTTCAGCTCCATCAGGTCATTTAAGGTCTTCTCTACACTGTTTATTCTAGTTAGCCATTCATCTAATCTTTTTTTTAAGGTTTTTAGCTTCCTTGCAATGGGTTTGAACATCTTCCTTTAGCCCGGAGAAGTTTGTTATTACTGACCTTCTGAAGCCTACTTCTGTCAGCTCTTCAAAGTCATTCTCCATCCAGCATTGTTCTGTTGCTGGCAAGGAGCTGTGATCCTTTGGAGGAGAAGAGGCTCTCTGGATTTTTAGAATTTTCAGCTTTTCTGGTCTGGTTTCTCCCCATCTTTGTGATTTTTTTCTACCTTTGGTCTTTGATCTTGGTGACCTACAGATGGGGTTTTGGTGTGGATGTCCTTTTTGCTGATGTTGATGCTATTCCTTTCTGTTTGTTAGTTTTCCTTCTAACAGTCAGGCCTGTTGGAGTTTGCTGGAGGTCCACTCCAGACTCTGTTTGCCTGAGTATCACCAGTGGAGGCTGTGCTGCAGAACAGCAAATATTGCTGCCTGATCCTTCCTCTGGAAGCTTCGTCTCAGAGGGGCACCCATCTGTATGGGGTGTCAGTTGGCCCCTACTGGGAGGTGTCTTTCAGTTAGACTACACGGGGATCAGGGACCCACTTAAGAAGGCAGTCTGTCCATTCTCAGAGCTCAGACACTGTGCTGGAAGAACCACTGCTCTCTTCAGAGCTGTCAGACAGGGACATTTAAGTCTGCAGAAGTTTCTTCTCCCTTTTGTTCACTTATGCCATGCCCCCACATGTGGAGACTACAGAGGCAGCAGGCCTTGTTGAGCTGCGGTGGGCTCCACCCAGTTTGAGCTTCCCTGGCTGCTTTGTTTACCTACTCAAGCCTCAGCAATGGCGGACACCCCTCCCCCTGCCAGGCTGCTGCCTCGCAGGTCGATCTCAGACTGCTGCGCTAGCAGTGAGCAAGGCTCCATGGGCGGGGGACCTGCCAAGCCAGGCGTAGGATATAATCTATTGGTGTGCCGTTTGCTAAGACCACTGGAAAAGTACAATATTTGGGCGGAAGTGTCCCATTTTTCCAGGTACAATCTGTCACAGCTTCCCTTGGCTAGGAAAGGGAAATCCCCTGACCCCTTGCGCTTCCCGGATGAGGCAATGCCCTATCCTGCTTCAGCTCACCCTCCATGGGCTGCACCAACCGTCCAACCAGTCCCAGTGAGACGAACCAGGTACCTCAGTTGGAAATGCAGAAATCACTCATCTTCTGCGTCAGTCACACTGGGAGCTGCAGACCGGAGCTGTTCCCATTTGGCCAACTTGGAACGGAATCCCTGCATTTCTTATAAGGTAGATCTAGTGGTGATGAACTCCCTCAGCTTTTGCTTGTCTGGGAATGTTGTTATTTTCCTTTCTTTCTTAAGGACAGTTTTGCTACATAAAATATTTTTATTTTGCAAGTTTTTTTTTCTTTCATCCAATTGAATATATTATCATTTTCTCCTGGCCTGCAAATTTTCTGCTGAGATTCACTGATAGCTTTATGGGTGTTCCCTGGTATGGGAGGACATTATTTTTTTCTTCTTGCTGCTTTCAGGATTCTTGCTCTATCTTTGATTTTTGATACCTTGATTATAATATGTTTTGGTGTAGTCTTCTTTAAGTTGAATCTGAGGAGACCTTTGAACTTCTTGTACTTGACTGTTTATAACTTTTCCCAAATTTGGAGAGGTTTCACTCAGTATTTTTTTTTAAAACAATCTTCTGTGCTTTTTTCTCTCTCTTGTCCCTCTTTAATTCTAAAATGCAACTGTTAGATCTATTTATGTTGTTCCAGAAATCTTGTAGGGTTTTTTTTACTCTTATGTTTTCTCCTCTAACTGAATAGTTTTAAATATCTTGTCTTTGAGTTAATGGACTCTTTCTTCTGCTTGATCAATGCTGCTGTGGATGCTCTCTATTGCATTTTCTACTTTATTCATTGTATTCCTCATGTGTAGACTTTTTTGGCTCTTTTTATGATTTCAATATCTCTGTTAAACATCTCATTTTGTTCATGTATTATTTTTATTGAATTTGATTTTCAAATAATCAAACTTCGTTGAATTAACTTTTTGTGCTCTCTTGAAGTTTACTGAGCTTCTTAAAGCAATTATTTTGAGTTGTCAGGTAACTTGTAGATTTCCATGGGGGCTTGCAGTTATTTTAAATTATTGTGTTCTTTGGTGGTATTTCCTTGGATTTTCTTGTTTCTTGCTGCCTTGCATTGTTATCTGTGCATTGGATGCAGCAGTCACCTCTTCCAGACTTTATGGATAGGTTTTAGTGAGAAAAAATTTTCCCCTGTGGGTGTGGGTGTGAGGGCACCAGCTTGGTGAGCTACAGCAATTCTGCCTCTCATGAGGACACAACAGTGTAGTCTCCAGACGTCTCTGTTAGCTGACATCAATGTTGGTAAAGATTACAAAGGTGTCCAGTTGCCAAGGCTATGGGTGTCTGCAGGGATGTTGGGGTCTTTGGTGACAAAGGCTTCTGGGGTCCTCCTGATCTATTTTTCTCCTATTGAAGAAGTCATGTACAAGGACTCTTGGTACCAGATATGGATTGCAGATATGCTCACAATGGTGGTGGCACTGGTGTCTGATGTGAGGCACCTTTGGAGCAGCCACAGATCAAAGTTCTAAAGCATGAGTATTTGTGGAGCTACTGGGGCTCCAGGATCTGGGGCAGCAGTGTCATCAACGTCTGAGGCACAAATATCTTACTATCACATTCATAGTGGTTTGTAAGATTATGGTCTTCTTGATCAGTCAGGGACCTGGTATCTGGAGGGTGAACAGGCATAAATTTATAGAAACTGCTGCAGCTGTCAAGCCAAGGTCTAAAGCACAGGTATGCACAGAGTGACCAGGGCTCCAAGGTTCACATAGAGGCTAGGTCACAGCAACAGTGGTTCTAGTGTTTGAGGCACAAATGCATTGAGGCCACAGAGCAGGATTCTGGAGTGTAGGCATGTATGGAGTGACTGTAGCTCTGGGGTCAGGGGTACACATAGGGTTGGGTGGAGTGGCAGCTTCAGTCCTAGTGTGGCACCATAGCAACTCCTTGGAGGTGGACACAGTCATTTCTCCCTCACCATGGGATTTGTGGCAGAGGGGGCTCTTAGTTACCTCAGTGTCAAAAAAAATGTCAATGTCCTTTGCAGGGCAGTCTGCTGCAGACCATGATGGGACCTGCTGCATTAATGACACTGATAGCCTCCATCCTTCCTTGTTTCTAGCCATGACCAGACTTCTCAGGTATGCCAATGTCCCCAGCTATTCTTTCTGTGTGGTTAGTCTCCTGTTTTTTGTTTTGTGTTTGTTTGTTTGTTTGTTTTGTTCTGCTGCATTGCTGCAGATTTTTAAATGGACCCTTGAGCTCTCACTAGGTTCACATCATTTGTGGTTATTTGTTGTTATTTGTTGGAGAAAAAAGGCTTACATCACCAATGCTGCCATCTTGCTGATGTCACTCTCCCTTGCTAACTTATTACATCTGTTTATTATTTTGAGATCCTTTTGATTATCTAGATAAATAATCATCTGCAAGTCGAAAGATTTTTTACTTCATAATTACTAAATTCTATCTTTCATTTATTTTTCTTTCCTTATGGCCTTGTTTAGGATCATTAGTATAATGTTGAAGAGAAATGCTTGAGGCAATATTCTTATTTTTTTCTGATTTCCCAAAGGGCCAACCAGTGGGTATGTTATTCAGTTAAGGCTTTTTATAGATGCATATTATTACATTGAGAACATTCCTTTCTATATCTAGATTTCTGAGAGCATTTATCAAGAATAGATGCTAAATTTTGACTTTTTTTCTGCACCGATGTGTAAATTGCATAAAATATTGATCAACTCTAACATTCTTGTAATAAATCTGTCTTGGTCAGAATGTATTACCTATTTTATATTCTGGTAAATTCAATTTTTTAAATATGTTGTTAAAGTTTTGGTGGTTGTTTTCCATTTGTCTTTAAGTATAATATTAGTCATTAATTTTCTATTACTTGAAAGCTAGTGAAGCCATTTAGAATTGGCGCTTCTGTATGAGAATGTTTTAAATTATTTATAATTTGATAGCTGGGTGTCTAAAGCAATCCCATGTTCTACCAGAACCACAAGTTTAGAGTGCAATGCTTCACAGGGGTTAGTTAATTAATTAAAAGTTGATGAGTGAACATCTATAAAGTGCCCATTACAATGCTCACTGTTGAGGGCTTGGGACATAATCAAAAAGAAAAGCCAAAAATATCTTGCTATATTTTGCCTGTTTCAAGAAGGTTTCTTAGTATTGAAAAATCACTAACTAAGGCTCAGGTCCTAGAAAAGGATAGATGAGAAAGGTTTATGACCCTCAGGCATCTGTTTTAAGACAAGTGATGGGGATTGAGTGCCCATGGGGAGAGCTTGGCACAGCAGAATTGAAGGAGGCAAGGATGCTATGAGTTGGGTGTGTTGCGGGAAGCTGTGATTGAGGAAACAGATCTCAAAAGGGGTAATGAGACTGCATTACTATCTTCTGTCCTCCAGGATTTGGCTTTGCCTTTGAATGTCTTCTGAGTGAGATCAGGAATAAAAGACACTATGTTCACTCTTGCATGGCTTGCTTTCAGATATTGGGTTATCAGAGCATGGGCCCATCAGTCATGATGATGGATTTATGGGTGAAGAGATATCTTGGAAGGAGATATGGTAAGTTTACCAGGGGAGTGGTGGGAAGTCCCTGGGAAGATAATAAGGCTGACCTTGGGAAATATCAATGAAAACAGCTTTCCTGATTATGTCCCATGAACATCTACCTAAAGAGGAGTGATTATTTGAAACACACACACACACACACACACACACACTAAAGAAAGTATGAGTATTTAATAATCATAAAGGAAATATCCACATAAATCTCCTGCCAATTAAAGACGTAAAGTATTCCCAGGACTTTAAAAGCCCTCCCCCATTGCTCCAGCTCATTTTTATAGGTAACCTTAATCTTGACTTTCATAATGACTCTGCCTTCACTTTATTCTATAGTTTTATCATCTATCCCTAAAGAATATATTAGTTTGTTCTATTTTTCATTTTTATGTAATAAAATCATACTTTAAAAATTTAATTTCTTTAGTAGTTATAGAGCCCTTCAAAGTTACCATTTCTTACAAAAAAAAAAATTAGCTGGAAGTGGTGGTGACACCTGTAATCCCAGCTACTCAGGAGGCTGATGCAGGAGAATCACTTGAACCTGGGAGGAAGAGGTTGCAGTGAGCTGAGATCATGCCACTGCACTCCTGCCTGGGTAACAGAGTGAGACTGCATCTCAAAACAACAACAACAACAACAAAAGTTACCATTTCTGTATTTCAGTTTGGGCTAAGGTAGGATTTTCAAGGAATTTGTACATTTCATCTAAGTTATCCAATTTAATTTCCAATATTGCCTTATTGTCCCTTGAAGATGACTAAAGTTTACATTGGAATCTCCTCTTCAATTTTGGTCACGTTTTGCACGTTTTCTCTCCTGCTGGTCACTTGCTTGCTTGTTCTCACTCTTGTGCCATCTCTAGCTCTCTGATTGGTTCAGACTAGAGATGTGTTCATAATTTTATTAACATTTTCAAAGCACCAACTTTTGGCTTTGTTGATTTTTTAATGTTGTTTATCTTAGATAGATTTCTGTTCTATTTTTTTCATATTTCTGCTATATTATTTTCCTTGATTTTAAATACTTCCTCCTTCTCTAACTTCTTAAAGCACAAACTTGAGTCATTAATTTTAAGCATTTTATGGCAGGCAGACAGATATAGATGATAGATAGATAAATAGGAGGCAAAAAGGATCATGGATACAGAACATTGAAGTAATTAGGTAATATCTCTTATTTGGAATAAAATAGGAAAAGAACTTCAAACTTTATTTCTTTGTGTTTTAACATGAAGTATTTATCATGGTGTAATTTAATAATAAATGATCATTCTTCTATTAAAACTTTTCACCTTTTAAGTGTCACATTCTGACAATAATTAAAGAATAAAAGAAGAACATACATTAGTATGATTTTTTTGGTATTGAAATTAGGTCAAAACCAGTAACATATCCAACATTGGGTAATACATCTGTGAATCTGACTATATAAAATATGCAATAATGAAAACTTTCTGATTTCCTCCTATTAGATTAAAATTGTTTCCAATTTACACCTAAATATTAATCTGGGCAATAGTTCCCTTGGCCCAAAGGGATTATTATTACATTTACAGGCAGAAAGCTTCAGATAGGACAGAAACCTATTCCTTCCTCTGCAGGAAGCCCTTCTCCCACCACCACCATTTAACAACACAGAGTTCAGTTGAGATGTCTTACAGTGATGGTATAAATTAGGGTCTTGGCTCAGTGTATGTGTCCTCTGATGTAAAATGGTGAACTGAAAAATGATAATAATAATGAAATCAAACCCAATTCTTATATGAACCCTCTAAAAAGGAAGAACTAAATAAAAAGCAATTAATTAATGTGACACTAGATTTTCAGCAATGGAGTCTTTAGAAGGCATTTTTAAAAAGTACGTAAGTGTCTATTCTTAATAGCATGGTACCTAGATAATGATGCTGAAGTGTCAGGAAAAAATATCCCTCGGCTATTATTTTATTCTATTTTCATATGTAGTACATGTTTATGATAAAATATTTATATAATATCAATACATAAATAGAATACATGTATTAATTGTCCATTATCTCACCATTAATAAATAACACTGTTAACATTTTGATGCTTTTTTGCCCTTATGTGCCCAATTGTGCACCTACTTGCCCTCCTACTCCCAGAACCTTCATCTCTTTGTCAGCATCTCTGGACATTGGAACCAGTTCTTTCAGTGTGCATAGCAGGTAAGAAATGCCAGGGAATTAATGCTCCTTACCACCCCAAGGGCAACCCACAACCAATAATTGATGGGAATGGTTATATAAATACTCTAGCTTTCTCCCCCTTGGATAGAATAATTTTGACGTTCTACACTGTTCTCCAATATTCCCCAGCAAGTTTCACCTCAGCTGCAGCTGCTCACAGTGATATCTTGGTTGAAACTACAAAATGTATTAGTTTTTCTTTCTTCCTGATCTCAGTTCCCTACTCTTCTCTCGGTCTTTCCTGGGCCAACCTCCACTATACAGTACTGTCCAAACCAAATCTATGGAGAAAAAGAAGGAAATTCAGGTGCTCATAGTTAAAATACTGCAGTAACCCTCTCCAGGTAATAAAACATAGCTATGATTTGTCTTTGACTTAACGTTGTAGGTCTGGAGGAGATGTAAATGCTATGAATAGAGACAGTGTTTTAAAATTATCTTATATAGCTGTGAGCCTTTATAGTTTTCAAGGTTACAATGTCAATGGTAATAAAAATGTAGAAAGCCAAAACATTTTGTGTATACTTCTATTATTTTCAAATAAGAAACTATGTGGTAAGGCAATAAAGGCTTGCTACTTGTTGTCTTGAAGGTAACTTCGTACCTATAATTTCCCATTTGATGGCTGAGGATTGTGGAAGAAAGATCTATTTCTTCATTTGAAAGATGGGACCACAAATACATAAGAGAACACATATGAAATGTGTTTCACTGTGTATGGTAGACAGAAATTAATTCATACATACAAATCTTCTCTTCATTTTCTTTGTGGAAATTATTTAGGGAATACTTTGCTATTCCACATTCTTTTGCCTTTCTGGGAATACCATTAGCCCTCTACTGCTACACAAACACGTTGCAAAATGGAATGGCAGGAAGAAGAAGTAATAGGATCTAGTGGGGCAAAGTTCTGCATTTTCTTCAACTGTTCAGATTATTTTTACTACTATTATTGTCACTTTTAGCAAATTTGATAATGCACTCATTTCTCCTTTAAATTTTGTGACTAGCACTGTAAGAAAAATCAATGTGTTTCTCTCTTTGGCAATATGATATCTCATTGTTCACAAATTCAACTCATGTCTAAGAGGAGAAAGCATGAATGACCTAGTCTGGAAGAAAAAGAAATTTGTTGAAGTCCATTACGAACCTTGAATCCATCTGTCTTGAATTTTAGGTTGGTAGGCTTGGAGTCCAGTTGTCTTCATTTCTCCTCTACCACATCCATGGCCACCAAACTGACTCACAGCCTCCTAATTCTTGCTCCACACAAATCTGCTCTCTGCATAGGAGATATAGTGAGCATTTAAAATGTATACTGCATACTATTTTACTCTTCGGCTTAAAACTTCTTCTAGGGTCAGCATTAAGGATCTAATTACATTTCAAATGAAACTCAAAGCTCTTACATAGTGTACAGTCTGACCCTTGTAGACTTTTCAAATCTCTGCTCATTCTACTCTTCCATTCACCTGCCCTATGCCAGCTACCCAATTTCCATTCAGGTCTTCACATCGCTGAGCTAGCCAGTGTTAGGACTTACACACTTACTGCTTCCTCTATCTGAAAATCTCTTCATGGCATTCATGTGCCTGGCTTCTTCCTGTCCTTCAGTCCTCGATGTAGGCTTTCCCACTTAAAGCATCTTTTAATTTTCCACCCTATTTAAGGGTTACCCCTCACCCATTATTCTCTATCATAGCATCTCGAGGCCCTCACGATGTTTAGTGCAAGTTAAAATTAGATCATTGTTCATTTGCCTGCTTAGATTTCTTTACCAAACCATACTGCAAGCCCCTGAAGTGCAGAGAATCTGAACATTTTTTTCTCACTTAGTACTGTGGTGCATGACATGTAAGAGAAATCACAATCAATATTTTTGAATTAATGGATAAAAAACTAAATAGTAAAGTATTTGAAGATGAGAAAGATTTTCAAATAAAAAGCTGTCAAGACATTGAAAGGCAGGATTTAGTACATTATATGGAAAAACAGTGGATATTGCTAAGGCTTTTCAAGGGTCTGAATCTTCCCACATTGCCCCTCTGATTAGCTTGGAAATATAAGTGGTCTGTTGGGCATGGTACAGAAAAAAGTTTCATGCATGCATTCTTTCAGGTCAAAATATCATTGGGGCAGCTGTGTTGATTGTGTTTTTATTATGTATGTGATGTATATCGTTGTTTGACGTTAGTAGTTTTCTGATCTTTCAGTTACCGTAGCACATGAAGTTGGGGAAGGTGACCAATGACTGCAATTCAAAGTAGTTTTGCCATAATAAAGTGTAATCTTGCTTATTCTTCTTATCACTGCCATTCAGACTAACAGTACTATACAAAGAGGAGGATATAAGGACAAATAAAGTAGTTTTGAATTTAAACCACATCATTTAAAAATAGATGACCTTGAGCAAGTTACATAACTTCTTAGAGCCTCAGATTCTTCATCAGTAAAGATGTTTGCAAAGCCTGAATTATGGAACTTAGATTGTAGTGCAATATCAGCCTTATAATCAATGTTCAGTAGTTATTTTTTTCTACTATTACTTTGTTTTTGCATTATTGCCATTACAATGGCAATAATCTGGTGGTTTTTGTGGGTCTTCAAAAGCCTACAATGAAGTTTCCAAGGTTTAACTGACAGCGACATTTTTTTGGAAGATGGCAACCTGGGTAGACATGACTATTCTGGAGTGACAATAACAGCCCATTTCTTAATTTAGCAACCATTTATTAAGTGCCTTCTCTGTGCTAGGCATTCTCCCATGTGGTGGGATACAACAGTGAACCAAACACTCAAAGGTGAGAGATGAGGATCCAGTTTCATTCTTCTACATGTGGCTTGCCAATTATCCCAGCACCATTTGTTGAATAGGATGTCCCTTCCCCACTTTATGTTTTGGTTGGCTTTGTCAAAGATCAGTTGGATGTAAGTATTTGGCTTCATTTGTGGGCTCTCTATTATTTTCCATTGGTCTATGTGCCTATTTTTATACCAGTACAATGCCGTTTTGGTGACTATGGCTTTATAGTATAGTTTGAAGTCAGATAATATGATGCCTCCAGATTTGTTCTTTTTGCTTAGTCTTGCTTCAGCTATGTGGGCTCTTTTTTGGTTCCATATGAATTTTAGGATTGTCTTTCTAGTTATGTGAAGAAAGATGGTGATATTTTGATGGGAATTACATTGAATTTGTAGATTGCTTTTGGCAGTATGATCATTTTCACAATATTGATTCTACCCATTCATGAGCATGGCTTGTGTTTCCATTTGTTTGTATCATCTATGATTTCTTACAGAAGTGTTTTGTAGTTTCCCTTGTAGAGGTCTTTCACCTTCTTGGTTAGGTTTATTCCTAAGTATTTTACTTATTTTTTTTTGAAGCTATTATAAAAGAGGTTGAGATCTTGATTTGACTCTCTGCTTGGTCACTGTTGGTATATACAGAAGTTACTGGTTTGTGTTCATTAATTTTGTATCCTGAAACTTTGCTGAATTCATTTATCAGTTCTAGGAGCTTTTTGGAGGAGTCTTTATGGTTTTCTAAGTATACGATCATATCATCAGCAAAGAGTGACAGTTTGACTTCTTCTTTACCAATTTGGATGCCCTTTATTTCTTTCCCTTGTCTGATTGCTCTGGCTAGGGCTTCCAGTACTATGTTGAATAGAAGTGGTGAGAACGGGCATCCTTGTCTTGTTCCAGTTCTCAGAGGGAATACCATCAAATTTTTCTCATTCGGTATTATGTTGGCTGTGGATTTGTCATAGATAGCTTTTATTACATTAAGGGATGTCCCTTCTATGCTGATGGTTTTAATCATAAAGCGATGCTGGATTTTGTCAAATGCTCTTTCTCCATTTATTGAGACAATTATGTGATTTTTGTTTGTAATTCTGTTTATGTGGTGTATCACAACCATTCTTGCATCTCTGATATGAAACCCTCTTGATCATGGTGGATTATCTTTTTGATATGCTGTTGGATTCAGTTAGCTAGTATTTTGTTAAGGATTTTTGCATCTGTATTCATCGGGGATATTTCTCTGTAGTTTTGTTGTTGTTGTGTCCTTTCCTGGTTTTGGTATTAGGGTGATGCTGGCTTCATAGAATGATTTAGGGAGGCTTCCCTCTTTCTCTATCTTATGAAATAGTATCAATAGGATTGATATCAATTCTTCTTTGAATGTTTGATAGAATTCAGCTGTGAATCCATCTGGTCAAGATGGATCAGGGACTTAAATCAAAGACCTGAAACCATAAAAATTCTAGAAAATAATATTGGAAGAACTCTTCTAGACATTGGCTTAGGCAAAGACTTCATAACCAGGAACTCAAAAGCAAATGCAACAAAAACAGTAATAAATAGGTGGGACTTAATTAAACTAAAAAGTTTCTGCACAGCAAAAGAAACAATCAGCAAACAGACAACCAATAGAGTGGGAGAAATTCTTCCCAATGTATACATTTGACAAAGGACTAATATCCAGAATCTACAAGGAATTCAAAGAAATTAGCAAGAAAAAAGAACAAACAATCCCATCAAAAAATGCGCTAAGGACGTGAGTAGACAATTCTCAAAAGAAGATATACAAATGGCCAAGAAACATATGAAAAAATGTTCAACATCACTAATAACCAGGGAAATGCAAATCAAAACCACAATGTGATACCACGTTACTCCTGTAAGAATGGTAATAATCAAGAAATCAAAAAATAACAGATGTTGGCAGGGATGCAGCCAAAAGGAACACTTTTACACTGCTGGTGGGAATGTAAACTGGTACTACCACTATGGGAAACAGTGTGTAGGTTCCTTAAAGAACAAAAAGTAGAACTACCATTTGATCCAGCAATGCCACTATTGGGTATCTACCCAGAGGAAAAGAAGTCATTATATGAAAAAGATACTTGCACACACATGTTTATAGCAGCACAATTCTCAATTGTAAAAATATGGAACCATCCCAAATGTCTATCAATCAATGAGTGGATAAATAAATTGTGATATACATACACAGTTTTATATATATATATATATATATATATATATATATATATATATATATACACCACAATTTATTTATCCACTCATTGACTGATGGATCTATCTATCTATCTATTCAGCCATCAAAAAGAACAAAATAATGGCATTCCCAGCAACCTGGATGGAATTGGAAACAATTATTCTAAACGAAGTAACTCAGGAATGGAAAACCAAACATCGTATGTTCTCACTCATAAGTGGAAGCTAAGCTAGGAGGATGCAAAGGCATAAGAATGATACAATGGACTTTGGGGATTTGAGGGAAAGAGTAGGGGGGAGGTGTGGGATAAAAGACTACCAATTGGTTACAGTGTATACTGCTCGGGTGAGAGGTGCACCAAAATCTCACAAAGCACCACTAAAGAACTTGTGTAAATGAACACCACCTGTTCCTCAAAAACATATGGGAATAAAAATAAATAAATAAATAAATAAGACACTCAAAGCCCTTGTCTTCGTCAAGCTTGTGAGTTAGTCAGCTAGGCAGATAAGATAAAAATAATGTAAATGAGTTACTTAGAATAAAAAATAAATCAGGGCAAGGGAGTAGAGAGTGACAAGGGAAGCACAGGAAACTACTCCCTGAGTAGGTGCTACGTAAGTGTGAACTCAGAGGATGGGAAGGTGTGAGCCACAGAGATTTTAGAGGAAAGAGCTTTCCAGTAATGATCCTGAAACAGGAAAATGTTGGCATGTGCAAAGGTAGCTTCAAGCTTGGTGCAGGCTGGTGAGAATCAGGTGAGAGCAAGTGGTGGAAGACATGAAATTGGAGAGGAAGGCAAGTTTGTGTATGTCGGGATAAGGACCCAGATTCATTCTCATTGGGAATCCTTTGAAAATTTTCTAGTCAAGGAGGGCCACATTTTCACCAGGAGCACACACTGGCCCACAAGAAGCACATGTGTGATCTGTTTTTCTTCCTATTTACATCCCCATTAGAAATTGACAAACAAGGCTTTTATTCTAAGACTGAAAATAGTTCATGATTTCACATTATTATTACGTTTTGCACCTAAATATACATTTAAAGCTCTTAGAGAGTGATTTATGGGTTACTGATTTATGGGTTACTTCTCTTGTGAAAACATTTTCTTCTACACATTTTATAAATAAGAATGCTAAACTGAAAGAAGATGTTAACCCTATTTTTAGGCAATGCTTGATCTGCTTTTCTTAAATTGGGGTTCTTCTTTAGCTAAGCTGTAATTTTCCATTCATTGGTCAGATGGTCATAGGTTCAAGTGTAAGTCTATTATATACTACCTGTGTAACACCTTGGGCCTGCATAACACCTGTGTAATAACGTGGACAAGCTATCTAACCTTCCTTCTTCCTCTGAATAATGGGGCTATTATTACCTACATTACTTATATGGAGCTAACACATTGTGTAACACATAATAGATACTTCAGACCTTTCTCTTCCCATTTGAATCTAGTGTTTTGTTTTGTTTTTTTACACTTATTTTAGGTTCAGGAGCATATGTGCCACTTTGTTATATAGGTAAATTTTGTGTCATGGGGGTTTGCTGTACGGATTATTTTTCCACCCAAGTAATAAGCAGTTTTTCATTGAGTCTGAGTATCATGAGTCACCATAAAGATTTGTCTGAATTTGGGAATAGTAAAGTCTGACAAAGGAAAATGATCAAGTATGGTGTAATCACCCTTGATTGTCTTATAATAACTGCAGAAAGGTGTGCTCAGTACAACCATTGCCAGACAAAATATTTTGATCAAAATCCCAGTCTGAAAGATTAGTACCTGCTTGAGAAATGGGCTGTGAATTCACCAGGACTAAATGAGGATGAAGCTTCCTATGGGCAATAGACCTTGCCCTCATAGTTCTGTAGCTGGACATAGCTCAGTTCTGACAGATGGTACTGGAGGGAGACTTTCAATGTTAAAAAATTTATTTATTTACAGCTACAGGCTATAATTGAGGTCATTTAGTCTTCTGGTTTCCAGCCCACATGGGAAAGTGGTTAATTTGCAAAGTGGGAGAGTGGGCATCCCTGTAATGTTGGAAAAAACACATAATCTCTAGGAAGAGGTCATGGTTCCTATCCTATTTCTGAGTCCTTTATTATGTACCTGATCTGTCTTTGCCCTCCCCCATGCGCCCCCCACCGCCCGCAGTAAGCCTCATAGTTCAGATCTGGCTCTGAGGTCTGTACAATGTGTCCAATTCTAATGCTCCATATGTCTATGAGAATGTGATTAAAAGTTACCCAGGTAATATGCAAAAATAATTTGGGATGTTCAACCCTGTGGTAATATTTAACATCTTAGAAATCTTTTCTTTAGGCTGTTACATCTATCAAGAAAGACGGCAGTTCTGAAAAGCAGTTAAGATGAGAGAATTTATCAAACTTCCCATTAACTGCAAATTCATGGGATGTTTGAAAGTTGTGAGTGAACTCTTAAGACCATGGTCACGGGGTGGCCTTTAATGTGAAATAGGTCTGTGGCTGAACTTTGTCTTTTAAGACTTGGTGTTTCAATGAGGTTTTATCCCATCTGAGCAGAGACAAGAAGGCCAGCAAAAATGCTATGTCTGCTAGACACTTGATAGTTTTTGTTCTGGGCAGAAGTGGTTAGGCTATGTTACAGCCTACACAATTTTAGGCATTCTTCTGTTTCTTGAAGTACCCCAAAGCTTTCATGTGCAGGTCAACTATCTCATGTTTTCCAATGCCCACCTGTATCTAAAGATAAAGAGGTAATGGACATTTCCAAACTTATGGCACCACATTGCCAATTCATTTACTTTCCTGACATTTCAAAGTGATCTTCTACCTTTGTGACCTTTAGAACAATAGATTATTTATGCAGGTATTTGGGAAGATGTACAGAAAGTTAAAATTACTGAAGCATTTTGTGGGCTGGTGGGGACATGGGGAAGACTGAAGTGTGAGGGAAATGGTGATTCCCTTTTAGTTACTTTTGAAATGGCTTAAATCATCACCAGAATAAAGGTTACACTAATAAATGTCTCATTTGTTTTAAATGCTCTGAAATGTGAACACTTTCATGGAACATATAAAATCATATACAGTAAATGGGCTGTGGTGAGATACTGTGAATGGCAGTAATTCCTTTTTGGAGTTGCTCATTTATTCTCCTTCCCCTTGACCAAGTTCTAAATTGGAGTAGAGTGGGGGGTGAGAAATACAGAGTGGCAAATACTGGTATCTCTGAGTTCAAAAATACTCTGAAAATGCAGAGTGACTCAAAATGTGGTTTTCATTATTAATATGGCATATAAGAAATGATGTAAAGTGTCCATATTGTTCTTTCCAACATATCCTTCCATCATTTTCTCCTCACCCATTAAAAGTGAAGAATACCGAACTATAATTCCCCAAATATGCCATGCCTTTGCACATGTCTAAAATGTCCATTCCCTTATCTTCTATTTATCCTTGGAAATCCAACTACTCTTAGAAGCACTACTGCAATGTAATTAATCAAAGCTTTTGCTAAATTAATTCTATCTTGGAATTGCATTTTCAAGCTGTATATTTTAATGCTTAACTGTGTGGGTTCTAAAGTCAGATTGTCAGATTATAAGCCTTGGCTTCATTATATATTTGCTGTGCAACCTTAACCTTAGGTACATTTCTGAATCTACCAGTGCATCTTATTTTTATCCAAAATATGGAAATGTAGTTTGCCGGTCCACATGGCTTTTGTAAGGATTATAAAGGTATATACCAAAAATTTTAAAAAGTAGTGCTTGACATAAACTGTTCAATAATTGTTAGCTATTTTTATTGTATCTCTGTTACTGCATATGTAATACAACATGAAAATTAGGTGAAACCCACTACATTGTTAACATTTCACTCCCTAATACCTTGCCTGGAATAATAATGATCTTCTGTACTACTCTAATTCAAGATCATACTGCTCATCCTTTGGCTTTGTCATTTGTACCAGTGCTCACTGCCTTCCAGCCTTCATTAGTCTCTCAAGGAAATACGGACATTGGTTTCTTGTTTTTCCATGCAAAGGTAAATCCAATTAGGGAGCAGCCCAGCTTTATCAGTTTCTCCAAACATTACAAAATAGAATTCAATTCTTTGGAATATTTTGATTATTCCACAATTCTGCTATAACTAAATAACTTACATGTTCCATGAAATTTGTCTTCTTTCCAACAAAAATAATTTTTAAAAGTAAAACTTGGTCTGCAACATTTTTCATGAATACATCTGTTCAAAGCATTGTTCGAAGTTATGCATTGTGCTAAAACTGTGACTCATAACAGGTTTGTGTAGTAAGCCTAGAGCTGTTTGTGGTCCCCTTTGGTACTTAGAGAAGATGTTGCTTTTAGAAAAGAAAACAATAAGTCAGTGGAAATCAAGCTACGCTACAAGGTAGAAAGAAAATACATCTCTGAAGACATCGTTTGAACCCTAGATCTAGTTATGTCACTTCCCATCTTTATGACCTATTAAATAATAATTCTTGATATTAGCAGTGTTAGTGAGGGCCATAGTAGCAGTACTTTGCTTATACTAGGTTCTATGTAGGGTCTGTCAACCTGCTAGAATAATACTTCTCTTATACCTGACAAATTTCCTCATCTTAAAAGGGATATAAAGATCGGGTATTTTCGTTCTTCATGTAGGTTCCGAGTGCATAGTATATTCCTGATGCCACTTGAGGCATTGGGATATAGCAGTGAACAAGGTCTACACACTCTTGGGCCTCACATTCTGGATGTACGAGACTATCCATGGGTCTAGCACATGGTAGAAATACAATAAAGATAGGTCCTTTCCCTTTTACTCCTTCTGAAATTATCTGGATAACTTAATACCTTTGTTATAAATCCAAAAATATATAACCTGACATTCAAGAAAATGGGAACATTTAGCCAAGAAGGTGGAAGATATTCTAGAACACAACAGCTACTTTTGATTATTTGACACATTGTCACATAGTAAGAAATTATACTGTCTTACAGAATTAAAAGGATTAAAAGAAATCATGAGGAACAATTAGAGACACATCGTGGCTTAATATAAGAAATTCTTTCTCACAGGCATGAACGTGTTCTTCATGAGGTCAGGAACCATGTCTGTCTTATTTCCCATAAATTTTATGCTTAGGACAGCAGAGGCACATGATAAGCTTCAATAGGCATCTGTTGAACAGAGTAATGAGAACTTGGGAGACTGAGAAAATGAATACTGTAAGGCAATAAGCTGCCTCTTAATGTTGTGTCTTTCCATTTACTTGAGTTTTCAAAAAGCATTTAGGCAACCTCCCCATTAAAAGTCCTCATTAGTTGGAATGTAGAATCTGATTTGGGCTAAATGACCTTAGGTTCCTATTTACCACTCAATGCTTAGATCCTTGTTCTATAATCCTATACTTTGTCATGGGTTATCCTCTCCCTCTCTGTTTTTTTTTTTTTTTTTTTTTGATTTGCCAACATGGAGTTCCCCTCCATTTACATCAACATTACTACGTTCTGCTTTATTAGTTTCTTAATCTCTTTGCTAATTCCCATATGTTGCAGCATCATTTAATTAAGGGCTACACTGCTGTGTGGCTGAGGCTCAAACAACGTCCTTTCCTGCTGTGAGCACAGCCAGGCTCTTGGGAATGTGGAAGGACTCACTCTACCTGGATTTTAGAAAACCTAGTCCAGCTTACGTTTCTTGAAAATTTTGCTGTGAAAGGGATTCATGCATACATCAAAGACAATCAGAATCTTGGAATTGTTGGTGTTTATTCTGTAGTTTTTCAATCGGAAGAAGAAGGGTAAAAATATCCCAAAATAATAGTAGTGTTTTGTAAAGTGTCTGATAGAGAGGTGGGAAAAGACCAGAATCCAATAAAAGGTTTAGTCATCTATCTACTAATTGCATGACTTTGGGAATGGGAGTAGTTTTTCAGCACTACAGATTTCTCGCCAATAAAATGAGGATGAGACAAGCTATAGTTTGATTTTCTCTTACTATTTACAAATCATTCTACCAGATATTTTCAAAAATTAAATGGAATCCTTCAACAATCCCAAAAGGTAGGTTGAAGATGTGTTTGCATTGTAATTTACAGAAGACCTGTTCTATAGACTAGAAAGTTGATATAATTTTAAAAACTGTATATTGTAAAATGCTCTGTAAATTGTTGAATAAAACTTTAATTTCTTCATAAAATGTATAAGAATTACCTAATCTACTTCAATACCACACATACATAAAAAATCTGATAACATAGCTCATGATTTTTCTACACACTTACAAGAATTATTTTAAAACAGAATGTTCCATAAAATCATCCAGAAACAGAATCTATTAAGTGTCCATAATATTTCCACTACCATAGTCAACACTGAGGAAAATGAAGACAAAATACTAAGCCTTCTAAAAAAGCTACTTCAGGTCATTAATAAATGAGATGATCATTCTCTATATTACTTAGACTACACCTGGAATATTGTATGCCAGTTGGGTTCATCCCAAATTAAGAGAGTAATTTTGTTCTTGGCCACCCTTCAAATGTTTTCAAAGGACTTGAAAATCATAAACTATGAAAAAAAATTGAAAGAACTGGCATTTAACCAGACAAAGGAAAAACAAACCCTCAAAAGCATATGACGGACTTCCAGTTTTGGCTGTAAGAGCTTGGGTGTCATCAGTACCATCCTTAATAACAAGAAAATGCTGAGCAAATTGAAAAACAATAATCTTTTGGGGGGCTATTTGTGAATAGAGTTAGCAGGACAAACCAATACTCTGAAACCTGGAGAGAAGGGCAAATCCAGAGAATCAAGCCAGGATCTGCTTACCTGAAGCAGAAGCTGCTGAAGCCATAAAGAATTAGAAACATTTAAAGGCCAATTTTGATCAACTGCTAGAGGTTGACGGTGGACTAGTTTGGGGAGGGCCCCACATATTCATGGGCTTTGTGTTCAGAAACATTACCAAGTGCTCTTGGTAAAGATATAAGAAAGATCCTCACATGGCCCTGGCAGGGGGAGGAATAAAGAATAATTGTGACTATGCCAATAATTTTATCTATAACTCTCCAGGCAAAAATAATTTATCAGAGCCTGTCCTAGAGACATGGGAAAAGGGAATTCCTCACCATGCAGCCACATAGAGTCTCTCTATATTAACTGCAGAGAGTAGAGGGGGCTATATAAGAAGAAACATCTTGAAGGTCATAGGTAAGAAAAACAGACCCACTAAAAGACTTAGGTTTAATTAAAAGATTATATAGAACTTCCCTGCTCCAAACCTTATCACCATACCAACAGTGGATAACAGTTAAAGGAGCTGCAAGAAATAGACCCTCGGAGGAGTATTTGGAGAAGTTCAAAGTCAAGAAGAGAGACAAAAACAATGATACTAAAGGAAGTTAAAGCCTCTGAACTGTACAGCACCAGCAAACAGTAAACAAAGCCCAACTCCTAGCCAGACTCACAAAATCCTAACACTTGAGGCCTATGTTCTCCAGTTCCTGTTACCCAATATAACATGTCCAGCTTTAAACATAAAAAATTATAAAACACACCAAAAAACACAGTCTGAAGAAACAAAGCAAACATCAGAACAAAACTTAGATAAGACATACATGTTGGAATTATCAGACAAGGAATTTAAATCACTTTGATTTATATATTAAAGGCTTTAATAGGAAAAATAGGTAAGTTGCTAGAACAAATGGATAATATAAGCAAGTGAGAGGAAAAACTCCAATAAGGAATCAAAAGGAAATGCTAGAAATCAAGAACACTATAACAAAAATCAAGAGTGCCTTTGATGAGCTCATTAGGAATTAAAAATTGCCAAAGAAAAAATTAGCAAGTTTAAACATTGGTTAATGGAAATATCCTAAACAGAAATGCAAAGAGAAAAATGAATAAAAAGTACAACAGTACCCAAGAACTATAGGACAATTTCAGAAGCTGTAATATAGGCATAATTGGAATACTTGAAGGTGAGGAAAGAAAAAATGGAGTGGAAGAAATATTTGAAGTAATAATGGACAAGGACTCTTCAAAATTAATGACACTAAACCACAGATCTAAAAAGCTAAGAAAGCACCAAATAGGATAATACCCTCTCCCCCAACAAAAGAAAGCCTACATTTGGGGATGTCATATTTAAATACACAAAACCAAACACAGAGAGATAATCTTGAAATAAGTCAGTTGGTGGGGGTGGGGGAGACAAGTTACCTATAAGAAGAACAAGGATAAGAATTACAGTAGACCTCTTGCCAGAAATCATGCGCTCAAAAAGAGAGTAGAGTGAAATAAAATGTTGAAAGAAAATAAAAACACAAATCTAGAATTCTACATCAAGGAAAATTGTGCTTCAAAAGTAAAGAAAGAATGAAGACTTCCTCAGGAAAAAAAAAAATTAAGAAGTCCTTTGTCAGAGACCAGACTTGCAAGAAATGTTAAATGACTTTCTTCAGGCAGAAGGAAAATGATACAGGTTAGAAACTTGTTGAAAATGCATATTATAAACTCCAAGGCAACCATTATTTTTGTGAAGAATAGTGATATATCAATAAAGGAGATATAACAGAATCAAATAAAATGCTGTTAAAACAAGAGAAGGCAGGAAAAGTAAAAATTTTAAGAATGTAATGGAGAGAAAATCATTACAAACATATTTGATATTCATCCAAATATGTCAATAATCCTTTTAAATGTTAATTCTCTAAATGAACCAATTAAAAGACAGAGATTAGATTTTAAAAAAAAAAAAAAAAGAGAGAAACCCAGTACAAGAAACTCACTCTAAATGGAAAAACTCTGATAAGTTCAAAATATATAAATCAAGAAAGATAAACCACATTAATACTAATCGAAAGAAAGCTGAGTAACTATTAATTTCAGACACAGCAGACTTCAGAAGAAGGATAATCATCGGTAATAAAAAGGGGTCCTATATAATGATGAAGCGATTGATTCCACAAAATTACAAAATAATAGTAAATGTGTCTGCACCTACCAACAGAACATCAAAATATGTGTGGCACAAACAGATAAAACTAAAAGAAAAAATGGAAGAATCTGTTATAGTTGGAGATTGCAACACCCGTTGTCAGCAATTGTTAGATAAATCAGTCAGAAAAAAATCAATAAAAGTATATTTCACCTAAAAAGCACTAACCACCAACTTGATCTAATTGATGCTTATAGAATAGGTATTTGAACGACAGCAGAATACACATTCTTCTCAGCTTGCATGGAACATTCACCAAGGTAGACCACATTTTAGGCCACAAATCATGGCAAATATAAAATAATAGAAATCATATACTATCTTTTCTCAGTCTACAATGGAATTGAGTTATAATTCAACAATAGAAATATAGCTGGAATATCCCCGAAGGTATTTGGAAATTAACCCACAGACTTCTAAATAACAATGGTCAAAAAGAAGTGTTATGAGAAATTTTAAAATCTTCTGAAGTAAATGCAAATAGAAACATAATGTATCAAAATGTATGAGACACAGAAAAGGCAATGCTTAGAGAGAAATGTATAGCATGAAATGTATATATTACAAAATGAAAAATAATTTAAATCAATAACTGAAGCTTCCACCTTAAGAAACTAGTAAAATTAGAACAAGTTAAGCATAAAGCAAGCAGAAGAAAAATAATAAAAATTAGAGCAGAAATTAATGAAATAGAAAACATTTGCTGAACCAAAAGCTGATTGATCAATGAAATTGGATAAACCTCTAACCAAGAATAAAACAGAGATAACACAAATTATCAGACATAAAATACCAGAAAGTTTAAAAAATGATTTTTTCTACTGATCCAATGAGCATTAAAATGAAAATAAAAAACACTACCAGCAATTCTATGCCCACAAATTTAATAAATTAGTGAAATAAACCAAATCCTTGAATGACACAAACTATGAAAACACACACAAGAGAAAGACAATCTAGATTATTATTAATAATATTATTAATAATATTAATAATATTATTATTAATAATCTTAAAGATAAATTACCAGACCCAACTGGTTTACATGGTGAATTGTAGGAAACAAGAAAAAAGGTGGTAGCAACTCTCCTCAATCACTTCCAGAAAATAAAATTAGAGGGAACACTTTCTGACACATTTGAAAATATCAGTAAGTGTTGGAGAGGACATGGAGAAAAGAGAATCCTTGCACACTGTTAGTGGGAATGTACATTAGTACAACCATTATGGGAAACAGCGTGAAGTTTCCTCAAAAAATTAAAAACAGGACTGTTGTATTACCCAGCAACCTTACTACTGGGTACATAACCAAGTGAAATGAAATCAGTATGTCAAAGAAATATTCACACTCTCATGTTTATTGCACCATTATTCACAATAGCCAAGATATGGAATCAACTTAAGTGTTCATCAGTGGATGAATGAATAAGGAAAATATGAAATTTATACACAATGGAATACTATTCAGCCTTAAAATGAAGGAAATCCTGTCATTTATGACATCATGGATGAACCTGGAGGACACTGTGTTAAGTGAAATGAGCCAGGCACTGCAAGACAAATACCATGATCTTGCTTATGTATGAATTCAAAAAAAGTCTAACTCATAGAAGCAAAGTAGAACAATGGTTACCAAGTACTAGGGAGGGAGTGGAGGCAGATTGGCGAGATGTTAATCAAAGGATAAAGAATTTTGGTTAGACAGGAATAACATGTTCAAGAGATCTATTGTACAACATGATGACTATAATTAATAACAACTGATTATATACTTCAAAATTACTAAGAGGGTAGATTTTGTGTTTTCACTGCAAAAATAAATATGTGAAATGATGATTGTGTTAATTAGCTTGATTTAACTATTTTACAACATATACCTATTTCAAAACATCATGTTGTACACCATAAATACATAATTTTTATATGTCAATTAGAACAAGAAAAGAAAATTTTTTAAAGTGAGCATTTCCCTAATACCAAAACCAGATAAAGACATAACAATTAAGTAAATTAAATACTAATATCTCTCATGAATACGGATACAAAAATTCTCAATAAAATATTTGCAAATCGATCTAACAGTGGATAAAAAGAATAAACATACTACAACCAGATGGGATTTAGTCCAAGTATCCAAGTTTGCTTTAACATTCCAAGATTAATAAATGTAACCAATGCAACAGGCTGATGAAAAAAAAATACACGATTATATTAACTAAAGCAGAAAATTTGGCAAAACCCAGTATTAATTCATGAGGAAGACTCTCAGCAAACTAATGACACAGGGAAAGTTCTTCAACTTGATAAGAACATCTACAAAAACTCTGCAGCAAACATTATACTTATTGGCGAGAAACCATATGCTTTCTTGCTTAGAAAAGAAGGCAAGATGTTTCCTGCCACTATTCTTATTTAACGGTGCACTGAATTACTACTAGCTGGTACAATAAAATAAGAAAGAAAACAAAAGTATACAGACTGGAAAGTAAGAAATAAAGCTTTCTTTGCAGATGATATGATTATCTATCTAGAATATCTTTAAAAAATCATCAAAACAACAATAATAACAACAAAACTTCTGTAACTAATGAGCAAGTATAGAAGGAGATAGGATATATGGTTAGTATACAAAAGTCTATTGGTTTTCTACATACCAGTAATGAACAATTGCAATTTGAATTTTAAAATTACTATTTATAATAGCACAATAATATGGCATATCTAGGTATAAATCTAAGAAAATGTATATAAGATATATATGGAGAAAACTATAAAAATATTGATAAGAATATAAAAAAATCTAAATTAATAAATACTTTGACTGAAATAAATAGATATTCTAGATTCATGAATTGGAGGATTCAATCTTGTTAAAATGTCATTTTTTCCCAACATGCTCTAAAGGTTCAAAGCGACCTCAATAAAACCCCAGCACACTCTTTTGCAGATGTTGAAAAACTGGTTATAAAGTTTATATGGAAAGAGTAAAGACCTAGAATGTCCAACACAATACTGGAGAAAAACAGAGCTAGGAGATTTACACTACCCAATTTCAAGACTTATTAAAAAGGTACAGTAAATAAGACAGTACAGTAGGAACTAAAGAAAAAACATATAGAAGTATGGAACAGAAAAGAGAGCCAAGAAATAGACTCACAAAATATGGTCAATGTATCTTTGATGAAAGAGCAAAGGGCAATTCAAAGGAGAAACGATAGTCTTTACAAGAAATAATCCAGAAACACTGAACACTCTATTAAATAATAATGATGTACAAAATAATATTAACAAAACCAAAGCCAGACATTAAACCTTGCACAAAACCTCATTTCAATGAATCATAAGATCTAAGTTTAAAATGAAAAACTCTAAAACTTTAAAAAGAAAGCATAGGAGAAAATATACATCACCTTGGGTTTAGTGGGGGGAGATTAAAATACAATATCAATAATACACCATGTAATAGAAAAAAACATAAATTGAACATTATTAACATTATGATTTTAAAAGTATCTGCAAAAGATTCTATTAAGGAAATGAAATACAAGCCATAGGCAGGGAGAAAATATTTGCAAAAGACGTATCTAATGAAGAATTTGTATCCAACGTAGATAAAGAACTCTAAAAACTCATGATAAAAGTAACTAAAATATAGATAAAAGATTTAAGACACCACCAAAGAAGATATGCAAGTGGCAAATGAAACCATATGAAATGAAAGCATATGAAAAGATATTGAAAATTACTTGTCATTAAGGAATTAATTTTTTAAAAAATGCGATACCACTCTCCACCTGTTAGAATGGCTAAAATCCAAAAGCTTAACAATAGCAATTACTGGTGAGGATGTGAAAGAACGGGAACTCTCATCCATTGCTGACAAGAATGAAAAATGGTACAGCCACTTTGGAAGACAGCTTGGCAGATTTTTACAAAACTGTACAAAATCTCATTATACAATTCAGTAGTCATACTGCTAGGCATTTACCCAACTAATTTCAAAATTTATGTCCACACAGAAACTGGCACATAAATGTTTACAGCGTCTTTATTTGTAATCATAAAAAATGGAAGCAACTAAGATGTTCTGCCAAGGAAGAATTGATAAATAAACTGTGGAGCATTCATACAACCGAATATGAGATTTAAAAAAATGAACTAACAAGCCCTGAAATGACATGGATGAATCTTAAATACATATTACTAATCAAAATAAGTCAGTCTGAAAAAGCTATATACTGTACTATTGCAGTTATATGACATTCTGGAAAATGCAAAACTACAGAGATAATGAAGAGCTCAGTGCTTGCCAGGAACACAGTGGGTGGGGAAAAGGAGAGGGCTAAATAAATTAAACACTGAACATGTTCAGGGTGGTGAAACTATTCTGTAAGCCACTGTAATGATGACTATAATGATGACTATAGTTAATATATTCACATTTTCAAAAATGAATATACTTAACCAACGCAAATTTAAAAAAATTTAAGAGGCTGGAGAATCCCAAGATCCAATGTAGAATGTGACAAAAAACAATTCATTACAGATTTATGAAACAACCTCACTGAAGTGGGTGGTGGGATAGGTGGAATAAGTTGCTGATACAAGTAACTTTAAATGTGAATAAAGTCTGTAGGACTAGAGGCAAAAGGAACTGTATATAAGTACTGTATTCTAGTTGATAAAGTTGCTCCCCATAAGTATACAAGTTAATGGTTCTAAAACCACTGTGTCATGTATACTGGAATTGAACAATTAAGTACATGGATGGCAGAGGTAGAAGCAAGTTTTTTCACTGTTGGAAAGGGATATTGCAGATAAGTAATGGAAGATGAAAAGAGCATTTTATGTAGTAATGGATCTGAATTGGAGACATCAGTATAAACTCATGTTTAGCTTATTATAGGCACAGAAATACTTGCAGGTATGTGTGTGTGCATGGGTTAGCATACACACGTAACTCCTTGTCAACTGAGAGGTCCTGGAAGCTGTAATATCTCAGTAGCAATGAGCACATCCAACACTCAGAACTTGGTTTTTAATACCATTCTCCAATAAAAAGAATGAGGGTTTCTCTGAGAAATGTCTAATTTTAGGACTGGGATAAGAAATATACAAGATGAACCTGGAACATCTTATAGATCCAGAAGGTAAGGAAGTGATAAATACACACACACACACACACACACACACACACACACAGTCAGTCACTGAGGTATGTCAAAGGGACACAAGAGCAAACTGAAAGAACTCACAGTGACCAAAGCTGGAACAATTTGAGCAACATCATAAAGTAGTTATGGATTATAATCCAAAATATAAATGTCTGTAAGTCTAAACTGATATAAATGATTAAGTAAATAGATAGTAAATGGGAGATAGACAAATCTCCAATGCAGAAGAATTGCAGTTTGTGAAGACACTTCACCTTTAAAGAAGCAGAGCATAACTCCTCACTCAAGTGTTGATTACACATAACAATTGCCTTCCAAAGAATACAGTGTGGAATAGGAGAAAAAAAGAATAACTTTCCAGTGGAGATACCTGACAAACACAACATCTACAGGTGATTAATATTAACATCAACTGTGGTAAGTCATGTTGAAAGTATGTGCCCTTGATATGATGTGACGAGAATGGTATTTTACTTCTATAGTCTTCATTTGAAAACCCAAAACTCCAGTCTAATTATGAGAAAAGCTTCAGACAAATCCCAATTGAAGGACATTCTAGAAGATAACTGACCAGTAATTCTCAAAACTCTCAAGGTCATTATAAATAAGGAATGTCTGAGAAATTGTCACAGGAAAGAGGAGTCTGATATAACATGACTACTAAATGTAATTTGGTATCCTGGATGGGATCTTGGAGGAAAAAAAGAGACATTTAGGGAAAAAATGAGGAAATCTGAATAATGTATAAAATTAAGTTAATGATAATGTATCAATATTGGTTCATTAATTGTGACAAGTGTACTATTCTAACATGTTACAATAGAAGAAACCATATAGAATATGTAGAACGTCTCTGTATTATATTTACAATGATATTTGTAAATATAAAAGTGTTCTAAATTTAAAAGACTATTTAAAATAAAAGAATATGGCAGCCATCTTCAAATATTGGAGAGGATCTCACATGAAAACAGTTGTCTTCTCCACTGCTGTTTCCAAGATTAGATCTAAATTAATGTGTGGTCACAGTCCAGACATATAACAAAAATGACAATTTCACATTATATACGCACACATCTTTATTTAGAAAAGCTTGACTCATATGGTAGTGAGATATCAGAATACTTTTTTAAAAGGCTGGATGACTAACAGTGATGCAGTACTATAATTCTAGCAGCACATGGATATTATATTACTGTCTACTATGGCCTGTGGGCTGGCCACCTGTTTTTGTAAATAAAGTGTTATGGGAACACAACCATGATTTTATACTATAATGGCAGATTTGAGTAGTGATAACACAGTATGACTTTCAAAACTCACCATATTTATTACTGGTCCTTTACAATAAAACTTTGCCAATCCCTGCATTAGAAAACATCACCAACATTTTGGGCCTTTAATTACCATAATTCCACATTCTCTTCCTCTCCACATGAGCCCAGGTTGAATGCTTATCTATTATCAATATTCAATCCACATTTGCTCTATTCAAGGTTCTGCTTAATACACCATGTTTGCCAGCATGGCCTATCAACTTAACTAAAGAGAAGGCGAACATTGCCTCCAAATTAACAATGATGATCACACAAAATCATGACATCAAATGTCTCGTCTATGTGGTCCCTGAGGACAGGTGTAAAAAGTGAATAACCAGATAAGCAGTGAAGCATGTAATATTAGTGCATGCAACATTACCCATAGCACATTGTTTTTAATCCATTTCTGCACCTTTCACCCCAGACCTCATCTCCTACCAGTAGTAGAAAGGTGATACTAATGCTACAAAACATGTGGTTTCATAAGCAAAGAAAGTATGAGTTGTTTATTCCTTGTTTCCAATTTTTCTAACAGAAATCTCCTTCCTTCCTTCCTCCTTTCCTTCCTTCCTTCCTTCTTTCCTTCCTTCCTTCTTTCCTTCCTTCCTCCCTTCCATTTTACTTCTCTCTTCTTTTCAATTTCCCTTGTAATAATTTCTTTGTTTATTTATCTTTTGAAAATGTTTTGTGTATAAAAGTGACATCCAGAGTCAATGACACAACTTCTTCCCTAAGGAACTCATCTCATTTTGGAATAGTCTGAGAACTCTTCCAAAATGTATTATGACTTATTAAGTACCATAACAAAGGTATAAATAAGGCCCTATTATGAAAGATTTTCAGAGGAATTGAGGTGTGTGCAACATTTTTTATTGCTTACTCCTACAAGGACCGAATAAAGGAGATATTTGGCCTTAAAGTTTTAGCACAGGGCATCAAGAGTCACTCACTGCTTCACACATAAAAGTGGATTGTAGAAATAATAAAGTATGATTACTCATTATGCTTGTACAGTACATGGAAGTTCACAAGTCATTTTTATATTCAATATTCCAAAGACAGGCTTGTGTAAAACAAAAGATCTAACAGACAGAAGAGGTGAGTGTGTGGTATATAGGCATCCCTGCTGTCATTTTATACCCAAATCTCTGTTCCATAATGCTGTTTCCCACAGAGTTCATTCATGACTTACATCTCTTCTCAGCAGGAGGCTCTACAGCCCCACAAAATCTGACATGCAGGTTGAAAAAAGTGTGCAATCTTTTCTGTAAATTACATCTTAAAAATATGAAAGCTACTATGCAATGGCACCTGTTGCTTGGAAAGTGTAATCAAGTGAGAGTGAGTAAAAGAGAATGAGAATGAGTAAGTTGTGTAACTCTGGGGCTTTTAAGTGCAACTCCTAGAACCTCATTTTTATCAAACTGAATTTGCCTTGAGGGTAATGATTACATCCTGCAATCATTGTTTTCCCAGCCTATCACAATGTTCAGTACCAAAGTGTTCAAGTGAGTTTGGCTTAATTGAATGAATTTTATTTTTCCTTCACAGTGTCAATTCTCCTTAGCATCCCCTGATGACAATTTCTCCTTTGATATCTTGGAAGCCTTTTCTTTATTTGCCAAGGCTAAATTCTGCAGCTTGAATAGTCATGGATTTGACATCACTGGTCTTTTTAAGTTATGCTGGCTCTACCTGTTATTTCTGAAGAAGTGGGTTTGCTTTGTCAGGAAATGGGGTTGGATAGTTTTCTCATCAATTATTCTCTTTTCTCTTTGCACTGCTCTTCTTTTCCACCAATGCTGTTCTACTTGTCAGGAAAAAAGATCATCACCCCCAGTATTAATATTTTCTGATTGGATGCCAAGGACAGAAGCTTTTCTCTTTCAGGATCTCACTCTAAACTTAGTGTCACATTGACTTTGCACATACCCATCTCCATAATTTTCATCCCATCCAAAACTTCACAATGCTTTTCTTCTTATTTTAAGTTGTCTATTAAAGAAAACGTCAAAACTGATGCAACTCTCAATTCCACTCCTAGCAAGACTTCTCCCTAAAGCCTCCCATTTAGAGTAGACTGATATAAATGACTCTGGATTAAATCCAATGTACCACTTCACAAGATGTAAAACTCCAAATTGTCCCTCCCTTTTCAAGGGGCATCTTTGCTCCACCCTACAATGGGTTGAAGTTGAGGGTATAGAGTATCCTAAACTAAGCCAAGTATTTAATAGATGAGTTATCAACATAACAGAGATACTCTCAGATAGATCAAGGGGACTGACACTCTTCCTTCCCAAAGGTCTCACATCCAGAGCAAACCATCTTGTCTATAATACTAGAATGGTGTTTCCAAGAAAGTATCGTAGCAATATGAAGGTCACTTTGGTAGTAAGTCCCTCCCCTATATCTGTGATTTAAAATAACTCAGGCCAGTTCATAGTAATCTTTTGGACCCTCTCTGCTCTTCACAATTATAAATATCAAGACTCCAAAGTGCCCCCATGAAAATCAATATTGGTTCAAAAATCACTTATCTGGACATTTAATTATCTCATTCTGTCTCACTGTCACCTCTATATCATAAATTCTCTGAGCCTCAGTACCTTCATTTATAAAATCAGTATTATTATATTCTCCTTCCCAAAGGATCATTTAAAAATCCAAAGCAAGTTAATTCAAGAAAAATATTTCTCACAATGATGTGTGTTTACCAAGGGCTCAATAAATAGTAAGTGTGTTGTACAATATAGACAATTTGGAGAAGGTCCTTAAGGGAACAATCTATTTTCTTTTCACATAGGTGAGAATGAGAAAGTATGTTTTAACTTTCTCACCACAACACTTTTTATAAATAAGTAGATGGTCCATTTGGCCAGGGAAATACTGCTTTGTAAAAAAAATCTAAGCCAGGCATGAAAGATGACTAGTCAGATCAGTTTTTCACCATATTAAGACAAGAAAAATTTATGAAGGGAACAGCTTTGAAAATGTTAAAATTTCAAGTTCTTTCATTTTCTTTCCCCTCTACTCTTCAAAGTTACAAATGTTGAGACTCCTAAATGCTCTGTGAATTGCAACATTTATGTTATTTCTGTTAAAAATTCTCACGCTGAAAATCTTCTGGCTTAGAAACATGTTCAATATTCTTTGTGCACAACTGAGTATCAGGAAAAAAAGCAAAAAGAACTCAGGATTTCTAAAATATATGTTGCAGAGGGCATGCACTGAGGTCAATTACTCTTTGCTAAAAGGGAGTCTCTTGAATATTCACTCAGAATCCATGTATTCCTGTCTTGCCACAATTGTGATAATGGTTGCTATTTGATATCTTGGTTTACAAAATACTTTTATATCAAATTAAAAATATCAGTTACTAGAGTGTTCTGGGTTGAACTCCTATATATGCAAACCTATTCCCAAAGGCTGGGGGAGATGAGAGGCCAAAGAAAGAGGCTGACAAATCCAGTTTTTCAGAAAGAAATAAAGGAATAGGGACTAAAGAACAGAAATGATGCCTTGAGTGAATGTGAGACAGTGGATCCTCTATATTCACCATCCAGAAAATAGCCTTTAAGTAGCAAGCTTTTAGGATAAGACAGGTTAAGCTGTTCATGTCTTCAAACTTTCTTGCCAAAGGATCATGAACATTTGGGTAGGTTAGAGAAGCATCTTTATGAGGTTTTATCTATGCTACAGGCACTGTTTAAAGACCTTCCTGCAGAACACCTATGTGAGGGTCAGACAGTGGTCATCATGGCAGTTTTGCTTCAAGGTGGCATCACTCTCACCATGCAACATGCTGTTTTCCTACACCTGAGTTAGGCACACTACAAGATATTAAGAAATTTAAAGGGGCTGGGCACGGTGGCTCACGCCTGTAATCCCAGCACTTTGGGAGGCCAAGGCGGGCGGATCACGAGGTCAGGAGTTCGAGACCATCCTGGCTAGCACGGTGAAACCCCGTCTCTACTAAAAATACAAAAAAAATTAGCCGGGCGTAGGTGGTGCACACCTGTAGTCCCAGCTACTTGGGAGGCTGAGGCAAGAGAATGGCGTAAAACCCGGAAGGCGGAGCTTGCAGTGAGACGAGATCGCACCACTGCACTCCAGCCTGGGAGACAGAGAGCCTCCCTCTCAAAAAAAAAAAAGAAAGAAAGAAAGAAATTTAAAGGAACAGGAAAAGAAGTAACAGACTAACACTAAAATTAATCAGAAGAATTTCAATGTGAGGGACATTGAGAGAACAAACACTTAGGAATCCAAACACCACCATTAATCCCTGGGAAAGTAATTATCATTGTTTGAAAAGTTATCCTGGGTGATATCAGCAACATGACAGAAGAGGAGTAGGCTCTGGACTCTCCCTCTAGCTACAGATACACTGAATAAACAGCTATGCATGGATGAATACCTCTAAGAGAAATCCATAAACTAGTAGAGAGTCTCCTGCACACTTGGTAAATGAGAAAATTATTCCACATTGACATGGGTAGAAAATGGGTAAGACACACTTTTGTCATAAATCTCATTATCAGCACAGCACCATACAACTGGGAGGGAATCCCCAACTCCAAGCTTCTCCCTGAGGAGAAAAGAGTTTGTTTAGACTACATATCTAGCACTACAACTTTTATGACTGCTACCCAAGGGACTGGCTCCAAGCTCACTCACCTATCTCTGAATGACGTTCAGCATTTACTAGTCTCCATAGACCAGAAAGAAAAAAGAGGTAGCTTTAAACAAATGCATAGCACTTTCCTTGCCTTTTCCTCCTAGCTCATCACCAAGCAAGGAGGCAACAAAGCTGAACTCTCAGCTTCTCCCTGGAAGAGGTCAGACCGCATATCCAATGTCCTGACTTTTCTAGCTGCTTCCAGAGGATCTGGCTTCTAACTTGCCTGTCTCCAGGAGCTGACAGGGCAAGAAATCACTAGTTTCCTTGAAATTGAATGGGTATTTGGACACTTCCTGTGGCCTAGCGACTGAACAGGCATGTGAGCACTTCCCTTGGCTCCTCTCCTCAGCTCATTCCTTTGATAACACCAAGAATGCAGCTTCTCACTATAAGGAACTCGGCTTATAGTCATCAATCCCCCCAACTTTTCTAGCTGCTACCCAAGGACTGCCTCTAACTTTCCTGTCTCTGAGAACTGATGGGGCCTAGCATTTGCTAAGACCATGGGGGACAGAAAGCAAAGCAATGGTTTGAAATTGCATATGATCTGAGGGAGAATGCAGGCATTTGCCACAATTCTTCTCCATGCTCACTACAAACAGATAATAAACTTCAACTCCTAGCTTCTCGCTGATGAAAGAAGGAATTGGGCCATGCATCTAGCACCTCAACTTTTCTGGCTGCTACTCAAGAAACTGGTTTCTGTCTCACCTGTGTTGGTGCACTGATGGAATTTGGCATACTCTGATTTACTGGGAGCCACTAAGAACAAAGGCAGTGGTTTGGACAAGCACCAAAGCTTGGAAGGCAAACAGAATATCAGTCTGGGCTGATTGGCGAGGTTCATCTTCTGTACAAGGCAGTCTGTGAGGAGGGGCAAAGATAGATATTTTATCTAATGTGTAGAAACCAAAGAAAGAATTAAGGAAACTAAAGAAATGGGAAAATATACTCCAAACAAAAGAACAAGATAAATCTCCAGAAACCAATCCTAATAAAATGGAGATATGTAATCTATCCAACAAGAATCAAAATAACTGTCATAAAGGTGCTCACTAAAGTTGTAAGAGCAATGAATAAACAAACTGAGAATTTCAACAAAGAGATAGAAAAAAATTATTTAAAGTACCAAGCAGAAAACAGCTGAAGACTATGATAACTTAATTAAAAATGCAGTAGAGGAGTTTAGCAGCATACTCAGTCAAGCAGAAGAAAGGATGAGTGAACTAAAAATCACCCAGTCAGAGAAGCAAAAAGGAAATAAAAATGAAGAATAAAGAGTAGAGAAAAATAAAGAATAAAGACAACTTAAGGGACTTATGGGACACTATAAAGTAGACTAATATACACATTGTGAGAGTTCTATAAGGAGAAGAGAAAGTAAAAGAAGCAGAAAGCTTAATCAAAGAGTTAATGGTAGAAAACTTCCCAAATCTGGAGATGGAAATAGACAAACAGATCCAGGTAGCCCAAAAGACAACAAATAAGATGAATCCAAAGAGACCCACACTGAGACACCTTATTATCAAACTGTCAAAAAATAAACACAAAAAGAATTTTGAAAGCAGCAACAGAAAAGTGACTAGTTTTATGCAAGGGAGTATCGTTAGACTAGCATAGAATATTTCAGTAGAGAACTTGAAGGTTAGATGGCAATCAGATGAAGTATTCGAAGTGTTGAAAGCACTTTAAGCAAGTAGTATTTATCCCTGCGATGCAGAGTTAGTTTAACATACACTAATCAATCAATACGATACATCACACTAATAAAAGAAGAGATGAAAACCATATTATAATCTCAATGATATGGGAAAAAATGTTTTGACAAAATTCAACATCCATTCATGATAAAAATTTTCAACTAAATAGGTACAGAAAGAACTTAACACACACACACAAAAGGCCATTTAGTGAAAAGTCTGTATCTGGCATCACAATCAATGAAGTAAAACCAAAAGCTTTCTTTCTAAGATTCAGCAAAAGGCAAAGATGCCCACTCCTGTGACTTTTATTCAATATACTACTGGAAGTCCCAGCCAGAAATATTAGATAAAAAACTAATAATAATAGACACCCAAATAATAAAGGAAGACCAAAAAGTCTGTGTTTGCAGACATCATGATTATATAGGTAGAAAACTCTAAAGACTCTATTTTAAAAACTGTTGAAATAAATAAATTCAGTAAAGTTGCAGGATATAAAATTAAAATACGAAAATGAGTAGCATTTTTTTACATCAACAGTGAACTGTTTAAAAGGAAATCAAGAAAACAACTACATTTTCAATAACATCAAAAGTAACAAAATATTTAAGGAATACATTTAGCCAAGGAGGTGACAGACTTGCATAATGAAAACTATAAAACATTGATGAAATAAACTGAAAAATAAATAAATAAATTGAAAGACATGCAGTATTTATGGATTAGAATTAATCTTGTTAAATGTCCACACTTACCAAAGCGATCTACAGATCCAATGCAATCTCTGTCAAAGTTCTAATGGTATTTTCACAGAAATAGAAAAAAAGAATCTGTTCTGGAAAAACCTTCAAACCATCTTTTTCCTGTGCTCTCCTACCAACATAACAACAATCAACACAGAAAACTTCTGTGATCCCAAAATATATGAGAATTTCTCCCCACCAGCAAGCAAGCAATCAATTCTGCGGTGGACACCAGCTGGGTATTCTCCAATTCGATTATGACACTATCTGCCTAGAGATAGTGTCAGACCCCACAGGTTGAGGGCTAAGTTCCCAGGACTCCCCATAATTCCTGCACTGCCCCATCCTGACACCAATAATCAAGTCTGGGCCTCTGGAACTTCTGACAGACTGGCTTCAAGTTGAGGTTCCCATAACCCCGTTTTTGTGTTCAATTAATTTTCTGGAGTGGCTCCTAGAACTCAGGGAAACACTTACTTATGTTGACCAGTTTATTACAAAGGGTAGAGATGAAGAGATGGGTAGGGCGAGGTATGGAAGAAGGGGCACAAAGCTTCCATGCCCTCGCTAAGCACGCCAGTTTCCAGGAACATTCACGTGTTCAGCTGTCCACAACTCTCTGAACCATGACCTTTGGGTCTTTTATGGAGATGTCATTGGTTGGCCATGATTGAAGCATGGACAACCATGTCAAAATGTGATTGGACAAAAAGGGTATGATGTAAACCCAGCAAGGCCTGTGTGTAGAGATTCTTCTTGGTCTCTCTGTTTAGCATTTCTTTTTCCAAAGTATGGGCAGGACACTTTCTGGAATAAGGGTCTTATGCCTCAAAATCAGATTAAAGTCTTACCTTGGGCAGGTGAAAGGAGGGAAGGATAAGGTCAGAGAGACAGAGAGAGAAAGAGAGAGAGAGAGATTCTATTTCCTGAGGCCTGCTCCTAAGGCTTAAAGCACCCAAACATTATAACAAAATACTGTAACAAAGGCAATGGATGTTATGAGCCAGGAAACATGGACAAAAAATCTGTGTGTGTATATATATTATATATATATATATATTATATATACATATATATGTGTGTTTATGTATTATATATATACTGTGTGTGTATATATTATATATTATATATGATATATTATATATTATATATATATATTATATATTATATATTATATATATTATATATTATATATTATATATATTATATATATTATATTATATATTATATATATTATATTATATATTATATATTATATATAATATATATATTGTATATATTATATATAATATATATATTGTATATATTATATATAATATATATTATATATATTATATATTTTATATATTATATATATATTATATATTATATATTATATATATTTTATATATAATATATTATATATATTATATATTATATATAATATATTATATATATTATATATATTATATATAATATATTATATATTATATATTATATATATTATATATAATATATTATATATATTATATATATTATATATAATATATTAAATATATATATATTAAATATATTATATATATAAATATATATAAATATATATATAATATTAAATATATTATATATATATAAATATATATAATATATATTAAATATATTATATATATATAATCACCTAATATCCCACAGTATAAAATTCATATGGTACCACAAAAGACCACAGGTAGCCAAAGTAATCCTGAACAAGATTAACAAAGCTGGAGGCATCATGCTTTTTTATTTCAAACTACATTATAAAGTTATAGTGATTGAAATAGTATGTATTGGCATACAAACGGACACAAAGACCAGCAGAACAGAGAGCCCAGAAATAAATCCATGCATATTTGATAAATAAGCCCTTTCACAAGGGCACCAAGAATGCATAATAAGGAAAAGACAACCTTTTCAATAAATGATATTGATCTGGATCTCAACATGCAGAAGAATGATATTGTATTTTTACATCACACTATACATAAAAAGCAACTCACAATAGATCAAAGACTTAAACGTAAGACCTGAAACCATAAAACTCCTTAGAAGCTAACATAAGAGAAAACATAGAAAAACTTAAGAGAAAGATCCTTTCGCATAAATCTTGGCAATGATTTTTTTGGATATGACACCAAAAACAGGCAACAGAAGCAAACATAAACAACTGGGACTATATCAAACTAAAAATGTATACACAGCAAAGGAAATAATTAACAAAATGAAAAGGCAAGCTACAAATTGGGAGAAAATATTTGTAAAACATATATTTAATAAGGAGTTAATATCTAAAATATATAAGGAATTCATACCACTCAAAAACACAAAAACACATAACCTTATTTAAAAATAAGCAAAGGATCTGAATAGATGTTTCTCAAAAGAAGACATACATATGAACAAAAGGCATAAGAAAAACTGCTCAACATCACTAATCATCAGGACATGTAAATCAAAATGACAATGAGATAACACATCACTCTTGTTAGAATGGCTATTATGAAAATGTCAAAACATAAGTGTTGGTGAGGATGTAGAGAGAAAGGAATTCTTTTACACTGTTGGGAGTGTAAATTGGTACAGCCATTACAGGGCTTTTTAAAAAAATTAAAAATAGAACAAGCATATGATCCAGCAATGCCACTACTGAGTATATATCCAAAGGATATGAAATCATCTTCTCAAGCACAATGTCTACAATCCTATGTTTGTTGCAGCATTATTCACAATAGCCAAGATAGGGAATCAACTTAAGTGTCCATTGACAGATGAATGAATAAATTGAGATCTATATATATGTTCACAGACAGTTCAGTCTTAAAAAATAAGGAAATCTCATTATTTGCTACAACATACAGAACATTATATTGAGTGCAATAAGACAAACACACAAAGATAAATACTGTATGATCTCACTTATATGTAAGAGAAGTATACACTTTAGCATGAAACTAAAGGGAAGTATATATTATAAACAACAATACTACGACATCATTTTAAACATGTCTTTGGTAACTTTAAGACAAAACATCCTTTGGATTAGTTACTAGAAGTGTCATTGACCAAAAGTAGATGCTTCTAACTTTGATGTATAGTGCTATCTACTTCTCCACAAAAATGTAAACTGAAAAAAATTAATTCCAAGTGTATCATGCATTGGTGGATTCTCACCTTTAAATTATACTTCTTGTGAGAATGAGAAATCACGCTATTAACTATTAGAAACAGGCTAGTTTTGATTTAAGACCCAAAGTGATTACAGTCAACCAGGAAATTAGCTGTGATTTGGATTCCTTTTTAAATCATTTTAACCAAGAATAAAGGAAAAGTATGCAATTAAAAATCACCATTCACTGACATAAAACTTATATTTAACCTTTAATATATTCCAGGCCCTCTGTACAAAATGATGTGCTTAACTTCAAGGAGATTATCCAACATGTTGGTGGACTGAACAGATTGGTTGCAACTATGGCTACAATTATTCCCCTATCTGTATACAGGACCCTTTGCAATGTGATTCTATGGCTCCTCCTACCAAGAAGTAGACTTTATTTCCCACCTTGAATCCATGCTGTCCATGTGACTTGTTTTGACAAGTAGAATGCAACATAGGTAACATCGTGCCCGTTCAGAGTCAGTGCATCAGCTCACTCTTGGAAACTTGTCTAGTCACTATAAATTGGCCTACCCTGCTGGATGACAAGAGGCATATGGCCCAGTTTTCCCCATCACTGCAGCCAAGGGCCAGCCAAGTCTCTAAAGCAGAGCCACAGATGCATGAGTAAACTCAGCCAAGACCAAAAGACCATCTAGCTGAGCCCAGCTCAAATTGCCAAACTACAAAAACAAAAGCTAATATATGGTTTCCATTTTAAGCAATTAACTTTGGGAGTGGATTTTTTATACAAATAAAGTTAACTGATACATTGAGTATCTTTCTCATAAAATTTATTTAAGAGTAAAGAGAAGAGCTCCCAGAACTGGGAGAATAGGGAAATATTTTTTCTATAAGATATGGCTTTTGCTCTGATCCTTGGAGGAACTAAAATTCAACCAATAATATTTACAAAGCAGTATTCCAAGCAAGTAGAACCATCCCACAGTTATCAACTCTGGGGGGTACTAGAAGAATGTTTTATGGACACTGTTTAAAAGACGGAGAATATTACATCATACGGTGAAAGCATTTTTAACATAGGATTATTGTAAAAATAAACATATCAAAATATGTTAAGCACCAGAACAGTGCCTAGTATGTAGTAACTGTTAGCTATGTCTTATGCCTAGCGAAGAGTTTGATTTTTTGTTTACCTATCAGACTGTTTTGTGCTATGTGTGCCCATGCACACATAGATATGTGTAGGAGGTAGCCAAGCACAGAAGGTAGGGAAAGAAATTTCTGGGAAAGGTGGAAGCATGAGCATAGAAGTGGCATATTTGGGCCATGCTTCTAAATAGTGGCTTGTAGTTTTACACAGAATTTTCAAACCACTTTTTTCTCACTGTCTACAGCAAACTGGATAATTCAGCACGTATGTATTTGTGACTTTTACATTTCAGGCACTGTGTTAATTAACACTTGAATAATGTAGGATCAACTATAGGTAATATTAAATTTATGGACCCCGAAAGTCTTGCATCTTACCAAGAGTTCCTCTTTAAATTTCCTAAGAGGAAACTTAAGTAAAATATTCAGCCCAATTCTAGTAAGTGTTCACCTTTGTGTATTAACATTGTCCCAATTTAAAATTATTCCCCTATTTTTTATCATTTTAATACACCGAATTAGTGTCTTTATTTCAGGTTCCCAATTTTTTTAAAACAGGGAGAAACATTAACACCTAGTGAAATAAATTCTTTGCCAAATTAGTCACTCCTAGGTTTTTGCTTTGGAAAGTGAGTCACAAGGCTACATTTGAAAACAACTTTTTATAAACACAAATCTATAGATAATAGACAGGAGAATAATGTAGATTTGTTTGCATTTATAAAGTTTGCCTCCACACATTTCTTATGTCAGAGTTACTCCTTACTGCATCGATATATTGATGTTTTAAAATCTTCTTTTTGATTTTTATTATAGATTTAAGAAAGGGTTTGTCATCCATGGCACTATTGACATCTTAGATTCGATGAGGGGAAGAGGCTTTATATAGGATGTTAGCATCATCTCTGAAATCTGGTATAGGAAGTTTGCTTCATTCATTTATTTGTTTATTTAGAATACTGTTGAAATAGCATGGAATAATCCAAGAGTCTAAGTGACCTCTAACAATCACAGCTGGCAATGAGTAAATTCATGAAATTACAAAGTATAGCAATGACTTTCAAACTGTAAAACATAGAACCAAACTGTCTTTAGAATGATCAATTTGTAACAAAACAGCAGGAAGTTTATTTCCCTTCTAAAGAAATAGATATATTTCATTAATTATCGTGTTAAGAGAAAAAAAGTCCTATTTGTTTAGCAAACAATAGACAGAACTACATGTTTTTATCAAGGATTTTCTTCTTTTCCTTGCAAAATACTCATTCAACTCTGCTGAGTTTTTAACGTGCAGCATTTCATGTGCAATAAGACCATTATGTTAATATAACAGATGTCTTTCAAACTGTCAAACATTAATTACAATTAACTAGAGTGTTTTTAAAATAAGATTAAATTGTGACTTATTTTGAATTATGGTTCAACAAGCTAATGTTCTTTTCTCAAAGACTACATATTGACTGATCATGGTAAATAGTGATTGCAAGATAGTTTTTTTTTAAAGACTATACTCAGAAAATAATGTGATATTTTGTGGGCTATCTTTGAAACACTTCTCAGTCCTTTGGATAGAGTGGAATGGATGTTTACTATATTTAGAGCAAAAACATGTCTGTATTAAGCAGAGGCTGAAAAAATGCCAATTTAAAAATTCTTACCAAGAAGCAAGGGTTCCAAACCCACTTAGCAATCTTTGATACATTTGTAATCATTTATTTTTGGTAATATTTAGTGTCTGCAGAAAAGGACTGCAATCTTTAATTTTTAGATTCTTCCAGCAAAGCCTCAAAATAATAAGTAGATATTGATTTGGGTAGATCAATGTTTGTCTTGTAAATGCTAAAATCCCTAAAATGCACTTGCATAATGTATGTCAATTTGACTTGTAAACTTTTGACTAATATTATTAATTTGTACTATAATTTAAACTGATATTGAACGTAAACATGTTAAATCTATATAATAAAACAGGTGTTCCCTAACTTAGATATTATTTGATACCTGCTGACCATATATAATCCATTAGTATAAAATGGTAGGAGTTAAAATTATGTGGTACCCTTAAAACATCACTGACTCTAAAACCAAATTTGGTCTCAAATTCCTGTCATATCACTTACTATGGACGTGAACATAAGCAACTCATTTGACATCTACTTTCTAACTTTCTCACCTATAAAACAAGACAACTAGCCTGGCGCAGTGGCTCACGCCTGTAATCCCAGCACTTTGGGAGGCCGAGGCAGGCAGATCACGAGGTCAGGAGATTGAGACCATCCTGGCTAACACGGTGAAACCCAGTCTCTACTAAAAATACAAAAATTTAGCCGGGCGTGGTGGCGGGCGCCTGTAGTCCCAGTTACTGGGGAAGCTGAGGCAGGAGAATGGCGTGAACCCGGGAGGCGGAGCTTGCAGTGAGCGGAGATCGCGCCACTGCGCTCCAACCTGGGCAACAGAGGGAGGCTCCATCTCAAAAAAAAAAAAAAAAAAAAAAAAACAACAAAAAAAAAACAAGACAACTAAAGTAAATTCTACCTGCCACTTTGTTGTTTTATTTTGTTGTGTATTTTTTTTCTCAGCCCCATTCTGGCACTCGGTAAATGTTGGATGAATACCAGCTCCATTAAATTTCCATATAGGGAGTTCCAAAATTTGACATATGATATGTTTCGAAAATTCTTAATGTATTTCTGGTATTTGTAGTTGAGAGATCCAATTATTCTAATGAAAATAACATTTTCATTAGAAAACACCGTACATAAGAAATTCTGTGATAAACAGAATAACAAGTTCCCAATGATGTCCATGTCCTAATCCCACAAATCTGTGAATATATTACCTTACATGACAAAATAAACTTTGCAGGTGTCTTCATAGTTAAGGACCTTTTATTTAGGACTTATTTTTCAAGCTATACAAATAATGAAATGCAAGTTATACCTCTGACATTAACTTCCAAAATGGATGAATCAGCCCTGTACCATTTCTCTATTAAAATAATTTCAGACTTCCTTTCTGCTAAAATCGTTTTGGTGGAACATATCAGATTATTGTTTGTTCCTCTAAAAGTAGGGAACTAAAGCAACCAACCTCAACCTCTTTCAAAGTCATCAATTATACCTAAAAAGTTTTTTTTCAAAATCCAATTCCAACACTTCTAATAAGTCTCGTAATAACTCTGGTTTCCTCTTAATACTTCTAGTATTAAGTATCGTATGGTACTGAATATTCTACAAAGCACTTACTGTTCATCCTATAGTATTATACATTATCTGGTAGACTTTAAACTCCTCAATTGTTACATAAAATTTGTGGAAAAAACATATAGATAGGTATAAATAGTATTTATTTATATATTTTAGAAAACATTTATTTAATCCCACTACATGCAGGCACTGTTCTTTTTAAAAAAGAGTAGAAATGCTTAACAATCAGAAGATCCTTGTAAAGAAAAATGTTTGTTTAAAAAGATTATTATAATTTGATTAAAAATTTTAGCAAAGTTACACACCATGCATAATGTATAAGACCTTCAGCAGGAAAGAAGATCCAGCCCAAGAAACCACATGCAGAGGGAATACACACATGTATGTGAACAGAGTTAAGGGATACTGAGGCACCCAAAGACTAGCAACAGTAGTAATGCATTATCATCCCTAAGACAAAAAGGGCAAGAAGATATTTATGCGACCAAAAAACATATTAAAAAAAAAAGCTCAACATCACTGATCATTAGAGAAATACAAATCAAAACCACAATTAGATACCATCTCACACCAGGCTGAATGTCAATTATTAAAAAGTCAAGAAACAACAGATGATGGCGAGGTTGGGGAGAAATAGGAATGCTTTTACATTGTTGGCAGGAATGTAAATTAGTCTGACCACTGTGGAAGACGGTGTGGCAATTCCTCAAAGACCTAGAACCAGAAATACCATTTGACCCAGCAATCCCATTACTGGGTATATACCCAAAGAAATATAAATCATTCTATTACAAAGATACATGTATGCATGTGTTCCTTGCAAGACTATTCACAGTAGCAAAGACATGAAATCAACCCAAATGCCCCTCGACGATAGATTGGATAAAGAAAATGTGGTACATATACACCATGGAATACTATGCAGCCATAAAAAGGAACGAGATCATGTCCTTCTCAGGGATATGGATGGAGCTGGAAGCCATTATCTTTAGCAAACTAACACCAGAACAGAAAACCAAACACTACATGTTCTCACTTATAAGTGGGAGCTCAACAATGAGGACAAATAGACACAGGGAGGGCAACAACACACACACTGAGGCCTGTCAGTCAGGGGACGGGGGAAGGGAGAGGATAAGCATAAGTAGTTAATGCACGTGGGGTTTAACACCTAGGTGATGGGTTGATAGGTGCAGCAAACCACCATAGCACACATTTACCTATGTAATGAACCTGCACATCCTGTACATGTATCCCAGAATGTAAAACAAAATAAAATAAAATTTAAAAAAATAATAAAAACAGAAAAGACATTACATAAAGAGCAAGAAGAAATAGAGAGTTACTGGAGTACAATGTGAACTGGAGCCATGGAGGAAAGGCTGTGTAACAGGAAAGGGATCATCGAAGGACACAGCCATGCCAGGAACAAAGCTTAAAATAGGTAGAGCACAGGAAGGAATGGCCTCCTCTCCCACTGACTCCTGCATCCCACGACTTGCGATTTTTTTCTGGGTACCATAGACTTAGCCAAAACAAATGACATAAAGCAAGAGTAGGGAAATGGGGGAAGCACTTGGAATCAGACTTCTGAGCATTGGGGCAGGAAAGAAACGTCTAGACAATGAATCTGAGTACATAGAGGTAGGGTTGAGCAAAGGCAGAATAAGAAACATACATACTCAGTGTAGAAAAACAGGTATGCTGGTTATATTTGAATAGAAGGGAAGGGAGACCTACAGGCAGAAGGTTAATTAGAAAGACAGCAAAGGCATTCCAAGTAGAGACAATTGCACAAACATGTGAGTAGACCTTGGAATAACAAAAAAGTCAGTGTGCCTCCAAAGAGCAGGTATTGGCTGGAGGAGTCTGGGAAAGTACGTGTAATCCATATCATGTTACCTTTAGTGCCTGAGCCACAAATGTGAACAGATATTCACTGACTAGCGTTGGGTGAATGAATGACCAAATGAATTAACTGAAATTTCCTTTATGCTGATTTTTACACAAATCAAGAATGGCAGATGCAGTATTTCTATCATCATACCGTAGTTCTGGTAGATGCTCTCTTGTTAAATATGTCCTGATAATTCAACTTCAGTGGATTCCAATTGTTTTTCCCATTAGCTTTTTGTTGTTGTTTGTAATGAATAATGCACTGGGGCTTGAGATGTTGAGTAAAATTTCATACCAAGATATGTATATGCTTTTTTGTAATATTTTAAACTTCAAAGGAAATTGAAAATTAGTAGTAATTACTACTTTTTATTTAAGTAAATTGAAGTTCATAAATACAGTACCAGAGAAGATAAAAATAGAACACAAAATATAATGTTAATGATTGTTAGAAATAAAAATTGAAAAAATGAGCATACAATCTCACAATATTTTTTTCACTTCAATATCTCTAAAGTCTGTTGGTACTAATGAATAATCTAATGTCTTTAAAGTTCATGAAAAAAATAAGATCTATAGGCTACACCTTAGGAGAAACTGATATTTATCAATACCCAATATAAACCTACATTTATCAGCTCAGGTATCATTGTACTACATTATCATCACAACTTTTCTTGAATTTTTCTAATGCTCTTATCTCTAATGACAAAGGCATTGCATAGGCTATTTTATTTAGATGTCATAATAATCCAGTGAAGTAGGAACATTCATCCCCACTTTACAGATGAGAAAACTGCTTCAAAAAGTTTGAGTAGTTTGCATAAAAACATATTAAACCATAGTGTCAGAGGCATTAGAACCAGACTGACTCCCATTTTGAGTGGGTGCTGGGTAAAATGTGACTGAGACCTACTGGGCTGCATTCCCAGGACATTAGCATTCTTAGTCACAGGATAAGATACAGGTCACAAAGACCCCACTGATAAAACAGGATGCAGTAAGGAAGGCTGCAGAAACCCCCCAAAACCAAGATGGCAACGAAAGTGACCTCCAGTCATCCTCACTACATACTAATTATTGCATATTATACCTAATTATAATGCATTGGTATGCCAAAAGACTCCCACCAGTGCCATGACAGTTTACAAATGCCATGGCTACATCCAGAAGTTACCTTTATATGGTCTAAAAGGAAGGTGAATCCTTAGTTCTGGGAAATCCTCATTCCCTTTCCCAGAAAACTCATGAAATAACCCCTTGTTTAGCATATGATGAAATACCCATAAAAATAGCCAACCAACAGCCTTCAAAGCTGCTCTGCTTATGGAGTTGCCATTCTTTTGTTTCTTTACTTTCTTTTTTTTAATTATCATACTTTAAGTTCTAGGGTACATGTGCACAACATGCAGGTTAGTTACATAGGTATACATGTGCCATGTTGGTTTGCTGCACCCATCAACTCGTCATTTACCTTAGGTATTTGTCCTAACCCTATGCCTCCCCCAGCTCCCCACCCCCCAACAGGCCCCAGTGTGTGATGTTTCCCTCCCTATCTTCATGTGTTCTCATTGTTCAACTCCCACTTATGAGAGAGAACATGCAGTGTTTGGTTTTCTCTTCTCGTGTTGCTTTGCTGAGAATGATGCAAAGTACATGAACTCATCTTTTTTACAGCTCCATAGTATTCCATGGTGTATATGTGCCAGCTTCTCTTTATCCAGTGTATAATTGATGGGCATTTGGGTTGGTTCCAAGACTTTGCTATTGTGAACAGTGCAGCAATAAACATAAGTGTGCATGTGTCTTTATAGTAGAATGATTTATAATCCTTTGGGTATATAACCAGTAATGGGATTGTCGGGTCAAATGGTATTTCTAGTTCTAGATCCTTGAGGAATCACCACACTGTCTTTCACAATGGTTGAACTAGTTTACAGTCCCAACAACAGTGTAAAAGCGTTCCTATTTCTCCACATCCTCTACAGCATCTGTTGTTTCCTGATTTTTTAATGATCGCTATTCTAACTGGCGTGAGATGTTATCTCATTGTGGTTTTGATTTGCATTTCTCTGATGACCAGTGATGATAAGCATTTTTTCGTATGTCTGTTGGCTGCATAAATGTCTTCTTTTGAGAAGTGTCTGTTCATATCCTTTGCCCACTTTTTGATGGTGGTGTTTTTTTCTTGTAATTTTGTTTAAGTGCTTTGTAGATTCTGGATATTAGCCCTTTGTAGGATGGAAAGTTTGCAAAAATTTTCTCCCATTCTGCAGGTTGCCTGTTCACTCTGATGATAGTTTCTTTTGCTGTGCACAAGCTCTTTAGTTTAATTAGGTCCCATTTGTCTATTTTGGCTTTTTTTGCCATTGCTTTTGGTGTTTTAGTCATGAAGTCTTTGCCCATGCCTATTTCCTGAATGGTATTGCCTAGGTTTTCTTCTAGGTTAGGTCTTACATTTAAGTCTTTAATTCATCTTGAGTTAATTTTTGTATAAAGTGTAAGGAAAGGATCCAGTTTCAACTTTCTGCATATGGCTAGCCAGTTTTCCTAGCACCATTTATTATTAAATAAGGAATCCTTTCCCCATTGCTTGTTTTTGTCAGGTTTGTCAAAGATCAGATAGTTGTAGATGTGTGGTGTTATTGCTGAGGCCTCTGTTCTGTTCCATTGATCAATATATCTGTTTTGGTACCAGTACCATGCTGTTTTGGTTACTGTAGCCTTGTAGTATAGTTTGAAGTCAGGTAGCGTGATGCCTTCAACTTCGTTCTTTTTGCTTAGGATTGTCTTGGCTATGTGAGCTCTTTTTTGGTTCCATATGAAGTTTAAAGTAGTTTTTTCCAACTCTGTGAAGAAAGTCATTGGTAGCTTGATGGGGATGGCATTGAATCTATAAATTACCTTGGGCAGTATGGCCATTTTTACAATATTGATTCTTTCTATCCATGAGCATGGAATGTTCTTCCATTTGTTTGTGTCCTCTTTTATTTCCTTGAGCAGTGGTTTGTAGTTCTCCCTGAAGAGGTCCTTCACATCCCTTGTAAGATGGAGTCCTAGGTATTTTATTCTTTTTGTAGTAATTGTGAATGGGAGTTCACTCATGATTTGGCTCTCTCTGTTATTGGTGTCTAGGAATGCTTGTGAATTTTGCACATTGATTTTTTTATCCTGAGACTTTGCTGAAGTTGCTTATCATTTAAGGAGATTTTGGGCTGAGACAATGGAGTTTTCTAAATATACTATCATGTCATCTGCAAACAGAGACAACTTGACTTCCTCTTTTCCTAATAGAATACCCTTTATTTCTTTCTCCTGCCTGATTGCCCTTGCCAGGCCAATACTATGTTGAATAGGAGTGATGAGAGAGAGCATCCTTGTTTTGTGCCAGTTTTGAAAGGGAATGCTTCCAGTTTTTGCCCATTCAGTATGATATTGACTGTGGGTTTGTCATAAATAGCTTTTATTATTTTGAGATAGGTTCCATCAATACCTAGTTTATTAAAGAGTTTTTAACATGAAAGCCTGTTGAATCTTGTCGAAGGGCTTTTCTGCATCTATTGAGATAGTCATGTGGTTTTTGTCGTTACTTCTGTTTATGTGATGGATTATGTTTATTGATTTGCATATGTTGAACCAGCCTTGCATCCCAGGGATGAAGCTGACTTGATTGTGGCAGAGAAGCTTTTTGGTGTGCTGCTGGATTCGGTTTGCCAGTATTTTATTGATGATTTTCGCATTCATCAGGGATATTGTTCTTCAGGGATACTGGCCTAAACTTCTCCTTTTTTGTTGTGTCTCTGCCAGGCTTTGGTATCAGGATGATGCTGGCCTCATAAAATGAGTTAGGGAGGATTCCCTCTTTGCTATTGATTGGAATAGTTTCAGAAGGGATGGTACCAGTTCCTCTTGGTACCTCTGGTAGAATTCGTCTGTGAATCCATCTGGTCCGGGACTTTTTTTGGTTGGTAGGCTATTAATTATTGCCTCAATTTCAGAACCTGTTATTGGTCTATTCAGAGATTCTACTTAGGGTGTATGTGTCGAGGAATTTATCCATTTCTTCTAGATTTTCTAGTTTATTTGCATAGAGGTGTTTATAGTATTCTCTTATGGTAGTTTGTATTTCTGTGGGATCAGTGGTAATATCCCCTTTATCATTTTTTATTGCATCTATTTGATTCTTCTCTCATTTCTTTTTTATTAGTCTCGCTAGTGGTCTATTTTGTTGATCTTTCCAAGAAAAAAAACAGCTCCTGGATTCATTGATTTTTTGAAGAGTTTTTTGTGTCTCCATCTCCTTCAGTTCTGCTCTGATCTTAGTTATTTCTTGACTTCTGCTAGCTTTTGAATTTGTTTGCTCTTGCTTCTCTAGTTCTTTTCATTGTGATGTTAGGGTGTCGATTTTAGATCTTTCTTGCTTTCTCTTGTGGGCATTTAGTGCTATAAATTTCCCTTTACATACTGCTTTAAATGTGTCCCAGAGATTCTGGTACATTGTGTCTTTGTTCTCATTGGTTTCAAAGAACATCTTTATTTCTGTCTTCATTTCATTATTTACTCAGGAATCATTCAGGAGAAGATTGTTCAGTTTCCATGTATTTGTGCAGTTTTGAGTGAGTTTCTTATTCCTGAGTACTAATTTGATTGTAATGTGGTCTGAGAGACATTCTGTTGTGATTTCTGTTCTTTTACAAATGCTGAGGAGTGTTTTACTTCCAATTATGTGGTCAATTTTAGAATAAGTGCGATGTGGTGCTGAGAAGAATGTATATTCTGTTGATTTGGGGTGGAGAGTTCTGTAGATGTCTATTAGGTCCACTTGGTCCAGAGCTGAGTTCAAGTCCTGGATATCCTTGTTAATTTTCTGTCTCTTTGATTTGTCTACTATTGACAGCGGGGTGTTAAAGTCTCCCATTATTATTGTGTGGGAGTCTAAGTCTCTTTGTTGGTCTCTAAGAACTTGCTTTACGAATCTGGGTGCTCCTGTATGCATATATTTTTAGGATGGCTAATTCTTCTTGTTGAACTGATCCCTTTACCATTAGGTAACGGCCTTCTTTGCCTCTTTTGATCTTTGTTGGTTTAAAGTCTGTTTTATCAGAGACTAGGATTGCAACCCCTGCCTTTTTTTTTTTTTTTTTTTTTTTTTTTTGCTTTTCATTTGCTTGGTAGATCTTCCTCCATCCCTTTATTTTGAGCCTATGTGTGTCTTTGCACGTGAGATGGGTCTCCTGAATACAGCACACTGATGGTCTTCACTCTATCCAATTTGCCAGTCTGTGTCTTTTAGTTGGGGCATTTAACCCATTTACATTTAAGGTTAATATTGTTATGTGTGAATTTGATCCTGTCATTGTGATGCTAGCTGGTTATTTCACCCATTAATTGATGCAGTTTCTTCATAGCATTGATGGTCTTTACAATTTGGCATGTTTTTGCAGTGGCTGGTACCAGTTGTTACTTTCCATGTTTAGTGCTTCCTTCGGGAGTTCTTGTAAGGCAGGCCTGGTGGTGACAAAATCTCTCAGCATTTGCTTGTCTGTAAAGGATTTTATTTCTCCTTCACTTATGAAGCTTAGTTTGGCTGGATATGAAATTCTGGGTTGAAAATTCTTCTCTTTTAGAAACTTGCTTTCACTTTACTCTATGGACTCACCCCAAAATTCTTTCTTCCATGAAATTCAAGAATGCTCTCCTGAGGTCTGGAGCAGGACCCTTTTCTAGTAACAATAGTTCTGCTATTCAGACTGATATCTGACTTCACAGTCGACACCCTGAATCAATATGCTTTCCTGAATACATGGCATACTTTTTAAAAGTAGAAATTCCACACCTATTTTTGTATACACATAATCCAACTAACCTTGAGAATTTGGTTGAAGTGGCCTATTCCCTGAAATCATTGCCCATTGCCTCAGTCGGAAGTGATTGTTCCCCTCATTTTTAGGCAGGAGGTAGGTGAGACTCGATTGGGGACTAGATTGGAGACTGGCAGAAACTGGAAAGAGGAACTGAAAGTATGTTTTTATAAGGAATGTCCACCAGCGCCATGACAGTTTGCCATTGCCATGGCAACACCTGGAAGTTACTGCCTACTTTCTAGCTTTTTCTGAATAACCAGCCCCTTAATTAACATGTCCATAAAAGGGTATAAATATGACTGCCTATGGAGTAGCCTTGCTCTGCAGGAGCTCACAGAGCTGTAACACTGCTGCCCACCTCAATAAAGCTGTTTTTTTCTACGCCAGCTTGCTCTTGAATTTCTTCCTGAGGGAAGCCAAGAACCTTCCCTGCTTCACTTGGAGTTTCTAAGAGTTGTCATTTGAGCATAACAAATATTTGTTTTGAACATACCACGATGGAGGCACTGCTTTTCAAAGCTTCTTTAAATTTAAAAAACAATATATACGTAAAAACAATATAAGTATACAGCTTGTTGAATTTTCACAAAGAAAACATACCACTGTAACTAGCATCCAGAGCAAGAAACAGAACATTACCTAAATCTCAGAAATCTCTTGTTGCTCCTTTTTTAAAAAATCATATTCCTTCTTCTATCCCCAAAGGTAACTATTATTCTGATTTCCAAGAACATAGACTAGTTTGGGGCAGATATTATTTTAAGTACTTTACATGTAACATATTCAACACTATTGAGCCCTACACACAGAGATAATCTAAATAATTCACTCAGGTAACACAGCTGATGAATCCTATAGCTGGGATTCAAATTCTAGCTGTTTACTACAGAGGACACTCACTTAATCTATACTTCTGTATGGTCCATGTGGCAAATTATACCTTATACCTCGTTTCCTCATTAGTTGTGGCTATACCTATTTATTCCAGACAGACAGTAAGTTCCTAAAAGATACGGTTTATATCTAATTCATTACATCTTGTTTAACATTCAATGTAGTGTGTGGCCTATCCACTTAATAAATATTTGCTGATTGATTAAATGAAGGAATAAATAAAATGAAACAAATAAATGTTTATTTAAAATGCTGTGCAATGACACTCTAGAACCTTGGGCAATATTAAAGCGATTTCCCCTCACAGTTGAAAGCACTGCTTTTTATTTCTCACTGCCACCAAAGAACACACTTCCACAAGCCCCAAGTCACTCAGCATTTTCCAGTGATTGCGTATTTTCCATTAAATGTAGTCATGTAAGCAGTAAAACTCTGTGCAGAACATGTAATGTTGTCTGATGGGATTTGGAAGAGAAGAATTTTTCCTTAATATGAATCGTCACTACTCAGGCAGCATCTTTCAGCCTCAGATTACAAAATACTTAACTGTTTTATTCACTTTTTTCCTCTGCTGACATTTCTTATTGTTACAAGCAAGATGACTTTGATAAATCCCTCTCTACCACTTTCTCAGAAGTAGCAATTCTGTTAGGTGTTAAAATACATTTCTCCCCAGTACTTACAAACTAATATTTTCATGAGTATAAAATATTAAGCAAGAGAGGCAACATCAGTATATGTCAAGGCTAATCCTTCAGAGTTACTACTGGTTAAGATTTCAGAGGTTGATGAGCTCAGCTCACCTCTTCACCCAGACAGGTGAAGTGAGTTGACCAATACTACCAGCTTGCTAAAAGAATTGCATACCTGGGAGCTCTGTCATGTTCATTCCACTACACCACTAGAAAGGATTATCTTCTCCTTTCTAGTTGAAGGCCAGTTGATGAATCACCTCTCTTGGTCTTGCCCTGAGTTCCTCGTTCATTTCTTCTTAACTTAACCAGGGCAAGAGGGGTCCCTCTGCTCCAAATGTTGCCCTCCTTTTATTTGCTCTGCTTCTCACAAAAAGGGTATAAATGGCCCACAAAAAGGGTATAAATAGCCCACACATTCTGGGCCATGCAGTACTAAAACAGAAGTCAGAAATGTATTGCAATTAAGATGAATGTTTAATTATCTTACCCTAGGAGAGTCATGGAGCCTATGCTTCTATCAAATGAAAGGTCCAATTTTTGTCTCAGATTCCACTTCAAAGTTATTCATTACACAAACCAAACAATGCAGTTTTGACCATTAGTGATAGCAAACGTTGAAGATTTTTTGCAAATAGTAATAAAGACATGGATTTGAACTTTGGCAAACTCCATGTGATAGCCTGAATAGTGCCCCACCCCCAAAGATGTTTTAATCCTAGTCTCAGAACCAATGAATATGTTACCACACATGATAAAAGGTACTTTGCATATGTGATTGATTTAAGGATCTTGGGATGGAGAGATTAACCTGGATTATGCTCATGGGCCCATTGTAATCACAGAGAGAGAGGGGGGAGGATTAGAGTCAGAAAAAAAGTGATGTGTTGGGCAAAGAAAGACAAAGATTGGAAGATGCTATGCTGCTGGAAGAAAGTTGGGGCCATAAATCAACAAATGCAGGAAGCTTCAGGAAGGTAGAGAAGGCAAGAAAATGAATTCTCTCTTGAGACCACAGAAATAGCACAGCCCTGCTAACCCATTTTACATTTCTGACCTCTAGAGCTGCAAGAGTGTAAATTTGGGTTGTTTAAAGCCACTACATTTGTGATGATTTTTCACAGCAGCAATACAAAATAATGTATACACTTCATGTTAAAAATTATGGGACAAAAGACTCAGATGTACAGACTGTGGATCAAAAGAGATGAAGAGAAACCTGGAATAATAGAGAAAAACAATTTAATAGCTAAAATAGGTTAAGAATGTACATCAACTATTTAGAAGGAAAAGAATTGGAAAAATACTGGAATTCACTTTTTATCCTCTATAGTATTTGAACATAATAATGTTCAATTGTATGGAATAGTAAAATTCTATGTTGTTTCTTCTGTACAGATTGGTTTGGTTTATTTCAAACTAAATAAATATTTCCATCTTCATATAAAATCTTGTATTGAAGAACTCCTGCCAGATTTACTATAGATTAATGCATGTCCTCAACTGATTTTTGTAAAATTATAAGTGGAAGGTTTACATTATGCTAACAGGCAGATGTGTGTGTATTTGTATGTGGTGTGTGTTGAATCACCATCTGGTTCTATATTTTAAAAGTTACTATTAACAAGAGTAAATAAAGCCCCTTGAACAAAATTTAAATTTCAATGTCATATATTATCCTAAATGACATTATTTTAGTCAGCTAAATTTTAAAGTTTCCAGAATGTCACACTGAGGCCGGTTAGAGAGATAACTCTGTACAGAGTTGGAAAAGGCAAAACCAGAAAAAGAGAGGAAGCATGTGGTAAGCTAAATAATGACCCCCAAAATGTATCCACATCCTACTGTCTGGAATCTGTGAATGTCACCCTACGTGGCAGAAAAGGATGTTGTGGATTTGATTACATTAAGGATCTTAGAATAAGGGGATTATCTTGGATAATCCAAGTGGGCCTTCAGTGTAATCCACATGTGTCTTTATGAGAAGGAGATTTGACACAGAAGGAGAAGGAAATGTAGCTTCAGAGACAGAGATCAGACGTATGTGACCACAAGTCAAGAAAGGGTGGCAGCCACCAGAAGCTGGTAGAGGCAAGAAACAGATTATCACTTAGAGCTTCCAGAGGGAGTGTAACCCTACTGACACCCTGATTTCAGTTTAGTGATACTGATTTCAGATATTAGGTCTCTAAAACTTTAAGAGAATAATTGTTTTAAGCCACCACATTTGTGATAATTTGTTATAGCAGTCATGGGAAACATACAGATTTTGGTACCTAAAAACTACATATCTAAGACCTGTAACAAGTATCTAAAATGCTATATTTAACTAAATACCTAAAAACTGTAACAAATGTCTTTAAAAATCTTGTAACAAATGCCTAAAAATGTGAACATGGCCGTGGAATTGGGTAATAGGTAGAGACTCAAATAATTTTGAGGTGCTAGATAGGAAAAGCCTATACTGCTTTAAACAGACTATTGGTAGAAAAAATGGGTACTATAGGCTCTGTTGATGAGGGCTCAGGAGTAAGTTAAGAGAACAGGAGAGAAACTCTCTATCATCTTAGAGTATATGTATGTTATCATCAACAGAATGTTGGTAGAAATATGCACATTAAAGGCTTTGCTGCTGAGGGCTCAGAAAAAAATAAGGAGCTTGATTTGGGGAGCTGAAGGAGAGGGACCCTTGTAATATAGTGACAGAAAGCCTAGCTGAATTGTGTCCTACAATTATGTGGAAGCATAACTTGTAAGCAAATAACTTGGTTGTTTTTCTGAATATTTTAGGCAACATGTTGAAAGTACGGTCAGATTTCTTTTTGCTGCTTATAATAAAATGCAAGAGGAGGGAGATAAATTGAGGAAGACTATTAAACAAAAACCAGGATTTCATGATTTGGGAAATTCTCTGCCTATTCATTTTGCAAAAGAAGCTAAAACGAGAAGATTCATTCTTAGGAAAGTGTGTTCTGAACAGAAAGTCAAGGGTGTGGTTAAACAACTATTACCCAGTGTCTCAGAAAGACCAAAAGGTGTGCGTAGGTTCTCGCCCAGAGAGTTCTTTGAGGAGATTAAGCATGTGACTCATGGATCCATTGAGCATCTCAGCAGAATCCAGGAATAAAGATGAGACTACATAGGAAGGATCTTAAAAACCAAGCAAACAATACTGACTGGGTTCCTCTTAAGTTTTATTATCCAAGCCAGTAGTTTTAATATACATTATTTTTATATATTAAAAAAAACTGGGCCGGGTGCGGTGGCTCATGCCTGTAATCCCAGCACTTTGGGAGGCCGAGGCGGGCGGATCACCTAAGGTCAGGAGTTCGAGACCAGCCTGACCAACATGGAGAAACCCCATCTCTACTAAAAATACAAAATTAGCCAGGCGTAGTGGCGCATACCTGTAATCCCCGCTACTCAGGAGGCTGAGGCAGGAGAATCACTTGAACCCAGGAGGCGGAGGTTGCTGTGAGCCAAGATGGTGCCACTGCACTCCAGCCTGGGCAAAAAGAGCAACACTCCATCTCAAAAAAACAAAACAAAAAAAAAAAAAACTGACACCACCTTTGTGAGCGAAGTATAATTATTCCCATTTTACATGTACAATATATTAGTTACAGTTTCACATGTACGATATATCAGTTAGGTTTGTTTTTGGTTGCAAGCAACAGAGACCACTGCAATTAACTTAAAAATGGGTGTTAGTGGAAGGTTCATAGGCAGCTCCATAGAACTGAAGGAGAACGTAAACAATCAGATATTGGAAAGAGAATACAAACATTGGAAAATTCGGACATTGGAATTTTGGAGGTGTAGTAACCAGGACAAATGGATAGTGCTTTGGGGATGACTACCAGAATAAATCAGTTCTAAACCTTTTCCATATTTGTGTCACTTCGCTCAGGACTTCATTTCCCTGTAGGGAGAGACTGGTGGACTTAGCTTGTGGCAACAATTAACACTGTGTGCCAGAGAGGAGGGCAGGATACCTGAATTGAAGGTTCCATCAAGAGCACAGGCAGGGGTGATTGAACCAAGCCTTCACCGCACCGAGTTTGCCCTACTGCAGTCACCCACACCGCGGCTCGCTTACGGTTGGAGAAATCAAGGCCCTACCGGGGCCACCTCTCTGTTGTGGGCGTGGACGAGGCTGGGGTGAGCCTGCCGGAGCTGCAGTTGCCAGCGACATGTTCAAGGTAATTCAGAAGGGTCCGTGGGGCCAGCCAGCCGGAGCTTGTTCACCTTCAGAGTCTGTGCAGCACCGAAAAAGGACTCACCTCCCAAAACTTCCGTGAAGGTTGACGAGCTTTCGCGAGGGCAAATCGCAGTGTGTGGAGGAGTCAAGGAACCAGCTTGAAGAAAGCTTCTCACAGCTCCGACACTTATTGCGAGCCATACACAAGCTGGTGTCAGGACACGTACTCCCAAAGTAAGCCCAAGATGCAAAGTTTGGTTCAGTGGGGGTTAGACAGCTATGACTATCTCCAAAATGCACCTCCTGGATTTTTTCCGAGACTTGGTGTTATTGGTTTTGCTGGCCTTATTGGACTCCTTTTGACTAGAGGTTCAAAAATGAAGAAGCTAGTGTATCTGCCTGGTTTCATGAGATTAGCTGCCTCCCTGTATTATCCACAACAAACCATCGTGTTTGCCCAGGTCAGTGGGGAGAGATTATATGACTGGAGTTTAAGATTTGTGGAAGGAGAACTTTCAAAAGCCAGGAAATGTGAAGAATTCACCTGGAACTAAGTAGAAAACTCCATGATCTGCCCATCTTAACTTATTTAAGTTACCTATATTAAGTTACCTACAACTTAATCAGTTATAGGTACACATTGGAAACTCCACAGAGTAAATCAGTATTTCTACAGAAAAATGTCAGAGAAGTCAGTATTGAATGTATTAAATTGGCTTTCTTCTTCAGGAAATACTAGATCAGACCTCTGTTATCTTGGGTGGTACCATCCTACACGCAAACTAATCTGAAATCCTTTCACCTAGGGATAATGTACAAACCTTAGAACTCCTCGTTTTCATGTTGCTATTTATTTACATAATTAAAACCCAAATTAAAAAAAAAAAAAAAGCATAGGCAATTCAAGATTTCTGTAGTTCCCAAAGAATAAAGTGAGGTGCTGAAGGAAGGTGGAATGGCTGCTGAACAGACTAAAAACACACATAGGGTAAATGAATATTCTCTACAATGATGCCCAGGGTTGTCCAGTGACTTGCCCGAAACCCCTATCAACAGAGTGGCTTAACCCTTACTTAGACCACTCGATTTAAACTGAAGAGTTCATGTGTGTCTAATACACCTGCTAACCGTCTCCTATGGGATTTCAGTCCTCCCATACACATAATGAGGGAATTGGGCATATATGACCTTTCAGGGTTCTTCTAACTTTTAGCATTCTCCTCTAATGAACCAGCCTGTTGTTTTGAGGCAATGGATGGCTGTTTCTATCATTGACAACAGATATACTCACTTCATTCTTATTTACATAGACAGAAGCTGTGTAGTGACAAGGTCTCTTCAAGGCTGGAATAATTCCTTAATAATATGAACAAAATAGCATCTGGTATCAGTCTTGTCCCACTGACTTGACTGTAGTGATTTAAAGCTTTCATTCTTTGAATTCAAAATCTAATTTTTAATGCACTTTCTGTCAGCTGTCTTCATGGATTCTAAATGAGTTTCTGTCATCCTGACAGAGCCCCAGATAAATTGAAACTTAACTAGGGAAAAAAAAAATAAGTGTTAAAAAATGATTTGTTCTGAATAGAATAAATGTGATATATATTTTGGTTATTTTCTCCCTAAATTGTCATTGGCTTCTCTCTATTAGTGAGCTGATGAGCATGTGTGATGATCAACTACTTCTGTAATTTACTGCCTGACAATAGTTTGTAGGCAAATTGCCAGGCTGACTTTGACTGAACCCATTACGCATTATTTCTTTTCAAGTAAACTGACCTGAAGAAAAGACTGAAATAATTATTTTTTCAGCATAACCTAAAATTATTGAGTAGTCCAGCTATTATTTCCTCCAGGTGTTCACTTTAATTGGATATGTAATCATTTTACATGAAAAAAAGCCATTATGATGGCCAAAGGTGGGTGAGAAGGCAATATTGTGGTTCTCTTTCACTGGTATAGAACCAGGAGACAAGAACGTTAAGCCAAGGAGAGAGCAGGATGAGGAAAAATAAAGAGGGGAGACAGAGAAGGAGAGAGATGAGGCATGTGGCATTTTATGAGGTTCAATCAGCATACAAAAGTCTAACTACCCAAAGCATTCTATACTAATACTCCAAAGTGCCTGGTTCAAAATACATATAACCATCCACATTTGTAAAGTAATGTACTACTTAAATGTAATGTTGCTTGTTGCTTCCCTCTTCAGGGTCTCAAAATACACTTTAAGCACAAAGAGCTTTATTTATAAATTAGGACCTGAGGTTTCCTGAGGACAAGTGATTTAATCCATGTCACACAGCTGGTTGATGGCAGACACTACATTAGGACCAGGTCTCTGCCTCCTCGACCCAATGTAATTTCCATATCACCTCATTGCCTTTACACCAGAGATCCTTAATTAACTTCCACCAGATGTTAATTACATTCTTCTTTCCATGAAACTTTCCTGAGAAAGTTTTTGTTGTTGCTTTTGAGAATGTTCTGCCCCAAGTAACACTATAGTTTCTGAAAACAGCCTTGAATTCAGCTGATGTTGAATTGAGGCCACCCTACCTTGCTGGTTAAGAAGATGGAGCCCTGGTACAATCTTAACTGAAGAAAATTCCTCAGTCTCTCGAGAAGTGTCATGTGGGCACCCTCGGCTTGGGTAACCTGACTTCTAATATTTCATTTGTTATTTGTTTTTGAGCAACACACTTAAAATATTTAGACATCGTGTCATTAACTCTATTCTCTTAAGAACTAAATGAGCTAATTCATGGGAAAACACATGTAAGATGTTAATAAGATGACATTTCTCCAAAGGGAGGGCCAATATGTACTTCTAATACTCGTTGTGATGACTGAGCATTGTGCAGGAATGGAAAGTGTCTGCTTATCTGTAGCAGATGCTGTTAACCCCTCACCCATGTCTCCTCAGGTCCCACCAATCCCGTACTAGCTGTGGCTTCCAAAAACAAGCACTTGAGGGCTTTCTCTGGCATTCTGGGCTGGTGATAGACACAAGGATTGCAGGGCTTGATATTCCCAAGAAATAGCTCTCTGTCAATGACAGGTAAGAGTTGAAGGACCAATACCCAGTTTCTTCTCACTTCAGGTGGAACAGTTCTAAGGAATCCTTTTTAAATTACAGTGCTTGTTGTACTACAATGTTAATAATCTTAAAGAAATAAGCTCCAAAGCAGCTGAATAAATCAAATGGGATATTTTCATGCTTACTCTCTCTTCTCAAGCCTTCTACATCCCTAAGGTCATAGAAGCAGAGGGAATGTATCCTAATAGCCACACTTGTATTTTAAGATCTAATGACTGTCTAGCATTGTTGCCTTCATGCAGACTATGTAGACATGCTGGATAACTAACCTTGGCATTTTATAACCCTATGAGAAGACTTAATGCCAAGGATATATGCATATTAGAAAATTTTTTCTATAAGTTATAATGCTAAACTTATTGGTGGAGGTATAAATCTTGAAAAATTAAAGAGAATTGCCTGAAGTTCTTCTATATTTTTTAAATGGTTGATAGGCTGAAAGGAGAAACTAGAGTAAAAAGATGGAAATTTATTTCAGTTTCAGAGACTATCAAATCTGTGTTTTGTTTATTTTGTCTTTGCTTCAAGCTTGAACTAGTTCATTTCCTGACTCATGGGACATATTAAATGTCTTATGACCAATAAGATATTATTAAAAATCTTCTGGTCTAGTGATCTATTTCAAATGTCTATTTTAAGTTACTACAGAACACTAAGGTCACAGAAGCAGAAGGGATGTATCCCAGTAGCCACATCTATACACATCTACATTTTTAGGTCTAACTTTATCTGTGTCTCTTATCTACATTGTTGTACATTTATTCATAAAATAACCCAACTACACATACATGTATGTAAGTGTGTGTGCATATATAAAATATGCAGAGATGCACACATTTTTTTTAAAACCAAACTGCTTGTGTTTGAATCCCAGTTCTGCCACTTGTGATCTGTGTGAGTTACTTAATATCTCTGTGTGTCAGTTTCCCTTTTGTAAAATAGGGATGACAATAGAATATACCTCTTAGCGTTATTGTGAGAATTAAATGTGTTAATATATATAAAGTCTGTGATATGGTTTGGCCCTGTGTCCCCACCCAAATCTCATCTTGAATCGTAATCCCCACGTGTAGAGGGAGGGAGGTGACTGGATCGTGGGGGCAATTTCCCCCATGCTGTTCTCGTGATAGTGAGTGAGTTCTTATGAGATCTGATGGTTTTATAAGTGGTTGACAGTTTCTCTCTTCACATGCTTCTCTCTTCTGCCGCCTTGTGAGGAAGGTGTCTGCTTTCCCTTTGCCTTCCACCATGATTGTAAGTTTCCTGAGGCCTCCCCAGCCATACAGAACTGTGGGTTAATTAAGCCTCTTTCCTTTATAAATTACCCAGTCTCAGGGAACTTATTTATAGCAGTGTGAAAATGGACAAATACACTCTGGCACAGATTAAGCACTATTAACATTTATATTATCTTAGCATATATTCTATCAACTCATATATGTATTATATGTGATATATATTATATATATCACATATAATATATATTATATATCACATATAATATATATTATATATCACATATTATATATAATATATCACATATAATATATATTATATATATCACATATATATTATATATATCACATATAATATATATTATATATATCACCAATATAGATAGAATTTGTCCATACATATTTCTGAATCCTATACAGGTGCAGCATAATTATCATATGCACATAGCATAATGAGTACACAATGTGACTTTGGTGATGATGCTGACTAATCCTGTTAAAAGGCAGTCTCCCTCCTGTGGGGAGTTAAACGGTCTCTCTGGGTGCCGCATGATAGATCCAACCCTGAATAATTAAAAATCTTCGTAGCACCACTTGAAATACATCTTCCAGAACCATTATTCAATTCTCCCCTTACTGGTTAAATTTATTTGCTTCCATTTTCAAATGAAGCAATCAATCCCTTTTCAAAGAAATAAATAACAAAAATAATAACATAAATAATCATAAGCTGTCACATTAATTGGAGTCATTTTCCTCCTGGGTGTCTCTAGATGGTATATTCCTTCCCTGATCAGCCTGCTGCTTTGAGATTAATATTCAGTGCACCCTGCAGCTGCTCTTCCCACAGAGTTGTGAGGTGAAGGATATAATAGGGGACAATGAGAAAACTCAACTGTTCAGCATTATGGTCACTGAGGAGACTCTGTGCCATGTTACTTACAGAAAGCACTAGAGAATTATCATTGTACAGAATTGAAATTATTATCTATTGGGATAAAGATAGAACAAGAAAAACATGATAGAAAAATAGAAATCTTAATTTAAATTGTCCCCATGGCTACTTCCCTGGGCTTATCTCTTCTCCCTTCCTCTAGCCACTAAACTCCAGACCATAAAACTAAGGTCACCTAACCAGGTTTTGTCACATCTTTCTTACCTTTGCCTAGCATTCCTATAAATTCCTTATCTATTCTACACAAGGAATTCAAATACTATCTTCTTATTGGAATATTTTTATTCTAGATGTGTTTATGTAAAGATAACTGCAGGCTTGATTTGGATGGAGAAAGGCTAAAGGAAATTAATATTTATTTAGGGCCAACTATGTTTCACACATTTTATTTCATGTGCATTATTGTATTTCATCCTCATCTCAATTATTTGAGATATCGTTCTCTCCGGGGTATAATTGAATGATCAGAGGCTTAGATGTGTTGAATAATTTGTACAATGACGCATACTGATGAACTACACAGCCAGGATTTGAACCCAGGCTTACCTTACTCCCAAGTCCAAGCTGTTCTATTTCTGCTGCACTGCAGAAATAGCAGCCATCGATAGAAGAAAAACAAATCTGATTTCTGTTATCAGAAATACAAGAGCTTGTCCATGATCATTTCACAAAGTTATTTTGTACCTTAAAAGTAGCCATATGTAGAACGCAAGTGTAGAATTTCAAAACATTGCTCCAAAATTCCTCCCATTTTCCACAGAAGGCAGGGTCTATGTGCCCTGGCCTAGAATCTGGAAGAGTTGTCACTGCTTCTACTCATAGAGTGAAGTAGAAGTGATGCTCAGTGGTTTCTGAGAAGGGCCATAAAGGACACTGGGACTTTCTCTATGTTTGCTGAACACTTCCCCTTAGAGACCAGAACTACAATAAGAAGTCTGACTTCCCCGAAGCCACCATGCTGTGAAAAAGTCAAGTCACATGGAGATGCTTTCGCTGGCAGTCTTTGTCTTTGAGTCACACCAGCCAGAATCCACATGTGATTAAATGAAACCCACAGCCCTTTAGCCTTCCCAGATGAAGACCCAAACATTGTGAAACACAGATGGGCTTATCCTGTGCTCTGCCTGGATTCCTGGCCTCAGATTCTGTGATCATAATAAATGAGTTGGTTTAAGCTACTGAATCTTGGCGTATTTGTTGTACAGCAAAAATAATGGAGACAAATAAACAAATTGAGATCCAGCAGAATGCAAAGCACAATTCTAAATATTCTGAAGAAAACAAAGCTGAAATACGTGTGGTCCCTGAATATAAATCTACAAAGAAAAAAAGGCATATATGCTGTTGTTTCTGATTCTGAAAGAAATCAGAAAAAGAAGAAAGTCTCTTTCAAGTTAGGTCTAAAAATAAAAAAATAAATAAGTAATATTTATAGAGAATCCAGAGTAGACAATAATGTTCCAAGAAAGGAAATCATATGAACAAGCTACATAGCTTCTTTTGGAAATGACACTTGGAACAGAATAATCAGAAAATTTAATCTGTAGAACACAGTGAGAAGTCAAGGCCAGGCCATTGGGAATTTCTGCTTGGAAATTTTGGGTTTATTCCATACGTAATGGAGGACCCTTGAAGATAGTGAGCTTTACAAGCGTATTTTCTCATAATATCCACAGGCTAGACTGGAAGTCTAGAAAAGATGGTAGAAAAAATAATGAACAGCTTCTTTCAGTATTCCAGATTATGGATGACAAACACCCAAATACAGTAATCACAGGAATAAAAGAAATGGAAATGTACAATGTACTTTTTTAGGGCAAATAGAAGTGACTCAACCAAAGATAAAAAGAACAGCATGAAGCACCTGACAAGTCATAGTAGAAGAAATGCATGGTAATAAGAAATAATATTTTTACATATTCAGTACATTTTGATACCAAACAAGCATGTTTTTCTATTTTTATATGTGTAGAGAAATCCAGTCACTGCTGATATGAGGCAAAAAGTACGTTAGAGATTACTTTTGACTTGTCTGGAGTCAATTTGGTGCATGTGCACTGGGCTTTTATGTCCCTTTGTATTTGTTTCTAGACATAACTCATGGAAATTATTTTTATTTCTCATCTATTCACATTCTTTCAATACAATTCAATTATATTAATACTTAAAATCATTGTCTTCAAATGACTTGGTTAATATTTTTTTGCATTTTCCTATCTTAATTCCAATATATTTGAAATTATAAGCCTGAAAGAGGAAAAAAAAAAACCTAAAAACTAAAGCAATCTCTTCTTGCCTTGTTTTGTAGAGACTACATGTGATTTCCTAACCATTGAAATGCATTGGCCATATTCTAGCATCCTTGGGTATGAGGTCTACATACAGTTTGTCGCATCTGCTTATTGTTTACTAAAATACTTAGAGATTGATTTGCTTGCAGTAATAAGGCTTTAGAGATGAAAGATAAATTTTAAAAATATAAAAATAGGAAAATGAAACATACGTAAGAATAAAGACAAGAGAAAATAATTCTTAATTAACTCAACACATAGTAATTTAATACTATTTGCCAAATACTGTTGTAAGTTCTCAGAGTACAGTAGTCAATAAAACACACAAAGTAGCTACCTTCAGAAAATTTACAGACTCACGGTGGGAAGGTTTAGTAAGAAAATAAGTAAGCAGAACTCAAGTATGTTAGATGGTTACATGTACATTGGCAAACAGTAAGCAGATGAAAGAGGAGAAAGACTTTTGGAGGCAGACACGTGGAAGGTGGGGACAATGTGACATTTGATCTGATACTCAAATAAGCAGAAGGAGGTTAGAAAAAGCACATCACACCGACTTTCTGGGAGAAGACATTTCAGGAAGAACAAACAAATGTAGAGTCCCTAAGGCACAAATGAGCATACTTGACATATTTGGGGAAGAGTAAAGAGGCCTGGGTGGCAGGAGAGGAGTGATCTAGCAATGAAATGAAGGAGATTAAATTAGAGAAAGAATGGACAGTGAGAGACTGTCAGATCATAAATGGTCTTCTAAGTCAAAGTAGCTCCAAGTGAAATAAAAGTAGCTTGCACTATGATTTGGGTCCTGTCTCTGCCACTGCCTAGCTCCATGATTTTAACAAATTACTCAACATCTAAGCCTTAGTTTTCTCTTAGAGGTAAAATTGGATTTTGCTTGTAAGTTTCCTGTGGGGGTCAAGTCAAATAATACAAAGTGACCCTTAAAACAAGTGCTTAGTAGAGTGACTGAAAAACAGAAGAACCCCCAGCTAACAGTATTACTATTATTTTAGAAGATAATATGTAATGAGAACCTTAAATGTACTAATTTGGGGAATGAGGTGGTAAAGGTAGTATCCTCAATTTTTAAACTAGAAAATAAAACAATTTTAAAAGGCTCCTCATATGCTCCTGTGTGATGTTACATGAACTGATCAAGAAAGGTGATGATGAATGGCAAGAATTAACAGAAATGCACTTTACCTTCATTTCCTACCTAGAGCAATCCTCATCATCATACATGCCCAAGACCTTTTCATGATTCAATGTGCCAGACAGAAAGTATGACCTCCTGCGATAAATAAAATCATTCTCATCCCTATCAATTCTGTTTAGTGCTTTGTTAGAGCTTGAGGATCAGCAAATATTTATCTTGGATATTTAAAAGAAGTGATCATTTAACTCATTTTGCATTATATATCATTTTTCCAACTTTTGAACTCAAGTCGAAGTCCAAATCTTTGAAGTTTATTTCTATTCAAAGTAGTATTACTCTTGAAACTTATCTGACATTTGGAAATTTTCATAATTTTTAGGGATAAGCATCAACCTTAACCTTGAGTTTTTTGTTTCCCTCTTTGCAGTGGAAGCTCCTACTCATTTCTTTCTGGCCTGCATTCCATGCGTGGGTGGCGATGAGTGGGATGGGCTTGAAAAGGAGAAAGGAGGTGTCTGACCCAAATATTACCCCAAATTGAGGTAATAGACATAGGTGCCCAAGTACCTGGCGAGAGTCAAGTATACCAACACCAGCTCTGCAGGCAGAGATTCTTACTAACTACATCAGCCTCTTGAAATATTTTGGGAATTCCCATATTTCCAGGAGCTTACTTTACTTCTGATGCATTTTCCTGTATATTCTTCTTTAAATTTAGATATGTCTCTTTCTTCTCTGTTCAATACCTGTATGGTTGAGATTGGAATAATATCATATTTTTTTGTCAAAAACTTTTTGGGGCTCTGTACTGTCTACAAGAGTTTTTTCTCTTTGTGTGAGATAGCATCGGGTTTTACATCTCAACAGTTCCATTGATTAACTAGGTATAGGAAATGCTGGATTAAACCAAGGTAATTTGATTTCTTAGTGAAAGACTTCTCAGATCTGCTTAGATGCTAATGTACATTTTAACTTGTCAAGGGGAAGATATCAAGTCAGAATCTTCTAATCGTATATATCCATGGGTCACATTTTCGAGGGACAAATACAGCTGCTAGTGTCCTGGGAAACTTACTTTGGGGATTTCTAGGTTGGATTTCAAGATTTTTCACTTTGTAGTACAATTTACTATTCCATACTTTTCCTCACTCCTCCTAGCGCTTTTCATGCTTCCACCACACAGAACTAACCCCGTTTCTTGAATACAAGGTGCTTTTTAATGCTCTATGCCTCCAGTGCAGAGAAGACGCAAACAAGTAAACAAACCTTTTTAATGCAAAGATTATCTTTATGTCTTCTTGTATTAATCCGAGAGCCTAGCAAAGCCATTAGCACTTGATCACTAGAATCAATAATTAGTCAATAATAGTCAACCTAGAGATTATTCTTATTTCTTATATTTCTTTTTGCTTATTATGTAGGTATCTAATTTTCTTAACATCACAATCCAGATCTTTCACTTTGATGAAAAACCTACATACAGAATCATTTTTCATGTGAATATAAGAATTAGCACTCTTTTGTCTGAAAATGTACAATGTTAACTTTTCTGCAAGATTTGATTAATTTATTTGTAATTAGAGATTGTCAGTGTAATTGTATTACATTTTCATATTTTGATTTTCATTACTGTGAACCCATTGAAAGAAAGTCTGTGTAATAAAGGGACAAATAGAGAAGGAAAGGAAGGAAGGGGGGGAGGGTGGGAAGGAAAGGAATTTGTAAATATCAGGAAATAGATAAAGTAGGTAAAATATCTCCTGGTAATTTAGTGATGTATACACAAATGGAAAATTGGAAATAAAATTTGATCCCCAAAATTTTAGTCCTAGAAGTGTAATTCAAGTAAATAACCACAAGTGTAGGTGGAATATATGTGTAACACACACACACAAACACACATATATATGTGTGTGTGTTTATATATGTATGAGAAATAATTACAGCTTTACCCGTAACAACAGTAAAAAGAAACAAAAATGGAAACCACAACATTTTCCAACAATAGAGGATTAACTAAAGAAATGAGATTAAATTATATGAATATTTTAGGTAGCCACAGAAATAATAGTATCAAACTATCCTTCAAGGTATGTTTAAAGGAGTCATCAGGGGATAACTGATGTAATCTTAATCTATTGATTTTGTTTTATAAGTGTGTGTAGTCCATATATATATATATTTTTTTTGGAGACAGAGTCTCACTCTGTCTCCCAGGCTGGAGTGCAGTGGCACAATCTCGGTTCACTGCACCCTCCGCCCTGGGGTTCAAGTGATTTTCCTGCTTCAGCCTCCGGAGTAGCTGGGATTACAGGCACCTGCCACTGCGCCCGGCTAGTTTTGTATTTTTAGTATTCTAGTATTTTTGTATTTTGTATTTTTGCCATCTTAGCCAGGCTGGTCTTGAACTGCTGACCTCGTGATTCACCCGCCTCACCCTCACAAAGTGCTGGGATTATAGGCGTGAGCCACTGCGCCTGGCCATGTAGTCCATATTCTAAAACGACCCAACTTTGAAAGCCTTCCAGGTTTCTGTGAATATGGAATTATTGTTTTGCATATTCCTAGTGTCAAGATATGCACAAGATAGTTGTCAGTGTTCTCTCATTCACATTCTTTCTTACCTCAGGATTCCATGACCTGAGGTGCTAAGATTCTTTGGGACTGATTGGAAAGTAGAAGAAGGCTCTTGTCAAATGAGCTGTGTCTGCTGTGCCTCATGGTCCTATTTGCAGACCTGGAACAGATGTGCAGGAAGATTCAATTTACCTTAATTCATCCCAGTTTAATTAGCAGCTGAGTTACTCCTGGCTCCATAATAGCAAGAAAGTGACAGTTTGTGTAGCATAGCGTCTGTCCTCTGGAAACAGCTTTCCCCTCTGGAATGCTACTTGATCAATAGAGAAATCTTACCATGTTAACACCAGAAGTGACATACATCTACCATCAGTTAATTCTAAACTAAAGAGCCATTCTCAGCTTAAAGTAAATCTTATTTTTATATCTTAACTTGATCATATGCTATACTATTGGAGGGAAAATGGCAGATGAATTAAAACATAATTCTCCACCCAACCTTGAGAGTTCAGTTCACATTTGCAAGTTCTCCATCACTGAGAACAATTTTCAGGAGCATAAGCTGTTATGAAAATAAAGTTAAGGTAGAGTGAACAAGTTTAGGAATAAATCTATTATATCATTATATTAACTAACTAGAGAAATCCAGAGAACTAACTAAAGACTAGTCAAATTCCTCAAGCCTTAAAAAATCACTATTTGTTTTTTACATGTTAAGCCATTGAAGATGAGTTTCCTGGAGGTTCTCAGTGAAGTGTAAACTGTGTTCAGTTGTGTTGAGGATAATGTGACTGCTAAGAGTCTCCCTTGTTTTTTCTTTGTTTGTTTTCTGTTTCATCTTCCTGGTTATGTGATACATTTACAGGTTAACTCCTGTCTCCAGAGGTTAACTCCTGTCTCCCATCTCCCTTCTCCCCAGTTTCCTTTTCTAGTCCTTTTCTATATACATGTCTTGGAATATTCTTTCTCATATGCATTGTAAGACTACAAGCACAAGTATACCTTGCTCATTTTCTTAATGGGCCCACAAATTGGTTGACTTATATGAAAACTCGTTTCCTTCAGATTGCCAAGAAGGTGTACAGAAATACAACAACATATATCACATTTCTTATACAGGAAAATATCTGATAGGAATGCAGTAAAATGTCAGGGTACATGAAAGCATTAAATACTTCGAAATTAGATTAGCCAAGTATAGATAATGCTACTTAATATTTGTAGACATTTTCACCCTGAATTTATGTTCTTACATTGTGTTTACTGAAAAAATATAAAGGCAGATCACTTCATAATATAGGTATAATCAGAATACACGGTGGTTTAAATGAATGAGTCATAACCAAAAAGTAACTGGACAACTAAAATCAGAAGTCACTAGGAGAGGAAGAAAACACTGCAAGATCATCTCACTAACTAGAATATCTAGCATAACATCAAATTGCTGAGGAATTTGAAAAAAAACAATGTACTACATGCTGTACCTCACCAATTGCTCCTACCCAGAACCTGGTCTTCTTTGGGTATCAGGTTGGTTCATTTTCACTCAGCTTTCCCCATTTCATGCTTTCGTGACATTGTTTCTTCTGTAAACATGGGCCCTTGCAGACACATGTGAAATCCTTCCATATTGCTGCCTCCAGCATACATTCAGATGCTGAAGATGGCTTCATCCATAAGATTGCTTCATACTCTTGGTGGGCATCCCATGTACATGATGTTCTCTTTACTATGATGCTGCTGTGTCACTTGTTCTGTTGACATTGTTGAACTCTCTAAAGTCACCTGTGCTCTCTCAGGCTATTTTTTTTTATGAGCCCCTACCCTTCCCCTACCACCCGTCTCCAGCTCTAATGAGAAATAAATGTAATGCTTGTATAATGCATGTAAAGAGAAGTCAAAAAATGTGACACAAAAGAAATGTGTAGAGAAAGGTCATACACAGCTAGTGAACAGCAAATGTTTGCCTCAATGCCATTAAGTTCCTGTTTTTAATAGGCACCAATAATTACTTCATACTGCTTGTAACTTCCATAATACAGTGGTTTGCATAAGTGGTCCAAATCACATTTCTAGACTATTACATTTTATTTATCTTATTTACATACCCAGTACTATGGCGACTGTGTTTGACAGGCAATGGCCTTTATGTCAAATGGATTTTCTTTCAATAATAAAGTTTTCATTATTCTTCATTCATCAGATATTTACTGGACACCTCCTATGAGCCAGATAATGTGCCTGTGATAAATTCAGCACGAGTATACTCTTAAAGAATTTCAATGGAAAGAGATACTTACATTGATAATTGCTATAATTTTTCATTACTTTTATTAATGGATAAGTGGAGAATGCTATGGAATTACATACATATAAAGGGTACCCCTTAAGTCAATATCAGAGGATAATTTTTCAGATCAAAGAAAAGTCTAAGCTGAACCATACAGGGTGCTTTAAAGTTGGCTATTCAGTCATTCATTCTATTATATAATAAGGAGACAGGAGACTGGCAGGGCCTATTTTCTGGTCACAACCCTACTGACCAAAATGGGATCTGGTTCAGACAGGATAAAGTGAAGAAATCAGCTGAAACCAGCAGATAGTGACAAAAGGGATCCCAGCTGCCCTCATTCCTCATAGGCATAAGACACTCCCACCAGTGCCATGACAGTTTACAAATGCCATGGCAACCAACTGGAAATTACCAGCCCTTTCCATTGCAATGACTCAGAGGTTACCACCCCTTTTTAAAGAAGTTCTAGAAACCCACCCCTCAATTTGCATTAACCTTCCCATTAATTTGCATAAAATTGAAAGTGGGTATAAGTATGTATAAATACAGTCACCAACGTTGCCTACTCTGGGCACACTGCCTATGAGTTAGCCCCGCTCCCCAAGGAGCAGTACCATTCAATAAAAGATTTCTGTCCAACACCACTGGCTTACCCTTTAATTCCTTTTTGGATTAAACCAATAACCCTCCCAGGCTGAGCTTCAATTTTGGGCCCCACCTGTCCTGCATCTATAATACATTGAGAACTTTGGCAAACACACAGTATAGTATCCTACATGTACTAAGAGTAGAAAAAGAGAGTGCAAGAAGTGAGAATCGACTTGACTTTCAGGACCTCATGGGTCATCTATATGGAGACACTTGTTTCTGAATTCAGAGCAAATATAGAAAAAATTAATAAAAGTGAAGATTACAGATAAGATCAAAAGTCTCTCTTTTGAGCAACTCAATTTAATTCACAATTACAATGATTTCTTATCCTATCCTTTCTAATATCTTAAATCTGATGAATTATTGGACTAGTTCATTCATATTTTTTGACAGTTGCTATGTTCATGCATACAAAATGTAGAGACCTATAAAAATTAGTTTCTGCCATTAAGAAGTTCAAGAAACTGAATTACATGTGTTTTTCTCAAACATTATTCCTTTAACAGTCACCAAGTATTGCACACTCTCGCTTCTCTGAAATATTAATAGGAATTTTTGAAGGGAAGGGCCTCATGATCAAACATACTTAGGAAATAGCTTATATTTGGTCTGCTTCTTGGTGATTTGCACTGCGATTAGCATAATGGTGCTAAGAAAACCTGTATCAAAGAAACTTGCTTGAGTTTATTAGCCATGAAACTTATTGTTGTTATAGTTTGTTTGTGTGCTTGCTACATATTAATATCTCCTTAATAACATTACTCTTTATTTTTCTCTCATGTTGATATCTACTAATACAAATTCTAATGATTGTATGTTTTTACTTCTAGCCTTAGGCACAACTGGACTTTCAATCACACATATTTTCCCAGAGAGGTGCATGACAAAGGTGCCCAGCACATCCTCAACTGGAAGTATGAAGCCAACTTTCCCCGACAATCTTTGAGTTTTCCAATAGTTTACAAAATTTTATTTCTTTAGCAAATTTTCTAAAGCCCATACTATATTGGAAAATTATGTATGTATTTATATATGTAAACATATATAGTTAATATTTCCTCTAAATCCACTTTAATAATTTTTTGCAATTATCTAAGTAAAACATTTGTGACATAATGGGATTGAGGTGCTTTTGGGATTTGATAATACATATTTTAAGGAAAGTTCATGCACTACCTAAAATCATCTCACATTTTATAATTGTGTGGGCAGAACACTTTGAGAAACAGTGAGTTAAATAATAAAATCTCTCTCTTTTCTGTGACCACATTTATAGATGCAAAATACCAAGATATCCTAGAACAACAGTTGGAATTCTCAGTTAAACAAAAATATAAATTTTAAGTCAGCTTCCTCCTAGGTAATTCATGTAAAATTATAGAGGTTATTAGTAATTAAGATATTTAAGAAGGTTCAATAAAAACAAATCAATAATGTCTTGAAGGTAACCTTAATTGAAAAATAAATACCCTAAAATAAAGACCTTAATGAGAGCATAAAAACAATCAAACAGAAGATAAAATATTTAAAATACTCAGACACTGTAATTGCAGTTGACAAGTAAGAAAACTATATTTTCAGTGATATTTGAAAATAAGTAAACAAGACAGACATCTCCCTTTGATTTTCAATTTCAGTCAGAGATGACCAATTCAAGGATTGATGTGGGGTCCTTGTTTCTAGGACTGTGCCATCTCCAGTTGAATTGGACATTTGCTTCCTCATGGCAACAAATTACAGTAAAAATACTCAATATTTATAAAGTCTATAGCTTAATGTTATAGCTTTATGTTATCATTAGTTTGGGTATACCATTACAGAATATTTTTATTCTTTAAGACTCTCTGTCAAAATCAGTTTAATATGGTTTCCTTGAAAATATTTGAAATTTTTTTTTTTTTTTTTTTTGAGATAGAGTTGGCCTGTTGCCCAGGCTGGAGTGCAATGGCGCGATCTCAGCTCACTGCAACCTCCTCCTCTCGGGTACAAGCGATTCTCCTGCCTTAGCCTCCCAAGAAGCTGGGATTACAGGTGCCCCATGCCCAGCTAATTTTTGTATTTTTAGTAGAGACAGCGTTTCACCATGTTGGCCAGGCTGGTCTCAAGCTCCTGACATCAGATGATCCACCCGCCTTGGCCTCCCAAAGTGCTAGGATTACAGGTGTGAGCCACCATGCCCGGCCGAAAATATTTGAAATCTTAAATGGGTCCATGAATATACAGGGATGACACATTAGAATGAGAGAAATATATAGTCCTATTAATAAAACAGTCCAGCTCTACTACAGATTAAAGGGGTTTTTGTGGGTCTTCTTGAACATCTAATTACAACACCACCTTACAACAAATATTAAAATGAAATACACATCAATATGCATACAATATTAAAAATCTTAGAAACATTTGGAGTACACAAATTGTTCATAAGCTGAAAAATTTCTGCCTATTACCTCTACCACCATGGCCACTGTGACTACAATAAATACAGATAACTTTTCTTTAAAGCATACATCTGCAAGATATTTTACTAAGGTCTTTATATAATTTCATTAGTCTTCAAAGTAATCCTAAAATTAAGTAATATTATCTTCATTTTCAGATGAAGAGACTAAAATTTATAGAGATGGAAAGACTGAATGCACTATATCATAGTTATAACAGCATGGATCTACATAACACATGAGCAAAGACAAATTCGCATTCCTTTTTTGAAGCAACTTTAATGACAACATTTGTGAATAATTGTAAAATTCCAAGTGCAGTCCTTGGTACATGTTAGGTGCTCAATACATTTTAGTTCTCTAATTCTTTATCAAATAAACTTAGTAGTAAAACAAATAATGGCTATTCTTTTGTGTATTGTTCATATCAGGTTCATTGAATCATTCATGATTATTTGAAGTAGATGATACTAATAACTAATAAAGGGAATTGAAGTGATTTGCTCAAGTCCTATAGCTGTTAAATGATAGGACTAGAATGAAAACCAGGCCTATGAATTACAGATATGTTGTTGTATTTTTCTTCAACATAAAGGGGGATTTCTTTTGCACCCATTAGAAGCTGGGGTGAATTTTATTAGTCTCTAAGAAATGTAGGTAAGTTACAGGACACACTGAGGACCATACAGAATGAGAACAGATAAAGAAATGACAGGTAAAATGAATGAGGAAAATGATGATACAATTTCAGGAATGTCAATCTCCTTGGAAAGTGCACAGTTTCAGAAAGAGTGAATGGTGAATTTACTCTACAGCAGCAGCTTTGGAAATGAAAAATGGATTGTAAAAGTGTCTTACATTTCAACGAAGTGTTCAACATATATAAAATGGGATGCTTGCAGGAGCTTAACAGGATTAAACCAAGGATCATGCCAAAATGACAGCTCCACTTAAAGGATGAATTGTAAAGTCACAAAAGTTACAGAGGGAGGTCAAGCCACAGCAGGAGTTTATTGCTAAAGGATTGATGAAGTGACATTTTCCAATAAAGGGAGAAAAAGATTATTTTGAAAAATAAAATCAGAATTATATTGTGGGCTTCTGGGAAAGAGTATAGATGCATTATCAGGGATCCTTTAAAAGGCACAAAATATTTTATTTAGTGTATAACCAAACCGCTAAAAATATCCCTATTCATGTTCAGAAATAAAACAATGTATTAGAAAAACATCATCTTCATGTTAGCCTGTTAACGGGGTTCTTAATTAGTTGTATGTGCCAAAAGTGAACAATATCTGAGAAATTGTCTAATATGCACACAAGCTAAACAAAGGATTTTGTCTTGAGATCTAAAAACAGAAGATGGAGAGAACTGCAAAGGATGCAACTTAGTATTTCTTGATGCATGTTATTGCATTTGAGTATAAAGATTCAAACATCAACTTTGATTTTCATTACTGCTCTTGAGACCTTGAGGGTATTTGCAAGATTTTTTTAATGACAAATTTTATTTAGTGCTTTTTGGTCCAAAGAGTTTAAAGTGCTAAGATGCATACTTAATTTCCATTATCAATGCTGTAATAATGAAGGTGTGATGGGACATATGAACATGCTGTGGAGTATATAGGAGGTAACAAAGCCAGATAAGTTTATGGAAGAAAGTAAATGACTTAGTCAAAGTCAACATTACTCTTTGGGAGCACAACTACCACTAGTTGAGTCTTTGCCATTTGCAAAGTAAAATTTAACTCTAAATCTAAAAGATTCCCTGTGCTGGCTTGTCTTGCCTTTTTCAAATATTACTTTGCAAATATTTTTTGAATGCATAGACTTTCCTTGGATTTTAAACTACGTGATACTAAAACTGTAAAAATTTTGCATATCCTCTACTTTTAAAATTCACATTGGTATATTTCTTGTTAAAATGTGATTGCTTGTGTGTCTCTACTTGGTGGGAGGAAGGGGAAGAGTGGGGAGAGTCTATGAAGAAGAAGAGTGTACTTTATGCACATATCTCAGGAAAGACTGTTATGTTTATCATATTGGCACTCCAGGAAGAATTTCAGAATAAGAAGTAGAGGGCCAAAAGAAGCAAGTTTCTTAGGACCTCGTCGACTGGTTTTAAACCCCAGGTGTCAATACTACCTGATATGCCTGGTTATTTTTAAATTTTATTTTTTTATTTTCATTTATTTATTTTTTAGACAGGGTTTTTTCCCTGTCACCTAGGCTTCCATGTGGTGGAACAATCATGGCTCACTGCAGCCTTGAACTCAGGGGGATTAAGTAGTTCTCCTGCCTCATCCTCCTGAATAGGTGGGACTGCAGGCACATACCGCCATTCCTAGAGAAGTTTTCAAAAATTTTATTTAATTTTTTTTTTTTTTTTTTTTGGTAGAGAGAGGGTCTCACTTTGTTACTCAGGCTGGACTTGAACTTCTGGCCTCAAGAAATTCTCCCTCCTCATCCTTCCAAAACATGTCAGACTTTTAAGGCCAAGTTGACACTTCTCAAGAATGATAGGCAGTAGGTTATCCTAGAGATACTAGTGAGCTGAGTGGAAGGCAGCAGTGATGGGATTTTCATAAGGATGAGCAATAGCAAGTGCAGAGAAAAATAGATGGAACCGTGATGGTGAATTTGACTACGTAATGCAATTAAAGCCAGAGATTTTTTTTAACTGACATGAGTAGGGACCAAACAATCTCACTGCCAAGAAAAAGATTCATAGAACCAAACATAAAGAAAATTAAACGGGGCCGTGCGTGGTGGCTCATGCCTGTAATCCCAGCACTTTGGGAGGCCGAGGCGGGAGGATCACCTGAGGTCAGGACCAGCCTGTCCAACATGGTGAAACCTCGTCTCTACTAAAAATACAAAAATTAGCCTGGCGTGGTGGTGGCCACCTGTAATCCCAGCTACTTGGGAGGCTGAGACAGGAGAATCGCTTGAACCCAGGAGGTGGAGGTTGCAGTGAGCCAAGATCGCACCACTTCACTCCAGCATGGGAAACAAAGAGAGAAACTCCATCTCAAAAAAAAAGCATGGATTTTAGTGGGTAAACAAAGATACAGAGTAGGGTGCAGGAAATTCTACTGGGCAGATATCTTAGTCCTGTAATTTTCCTCTCTTTACATGAGTTCACATCTTAAGTGTCCCAACTATCACCCTTATCAAATTAACACATACTTGAGTGAAAATACGTGGCAATACATGAATTTATGTATAAAATTGAAATTACTTTCTGGGTTCTCTCTCCTCCCCCCAATTTCCATGATTTTCAAACAAAGCTTCCATCAAAAACCTTTAAGACACTTCCTAAATGGGACTTTCAAAGACAATTTTTTGGGTAACAACCATAAAGACTTACATGGAAATGGTCATAAACATTTTAGATTTTGATTAATAGTATTTTCTATATTTTACTCTGTAATGATCTCACCACCTAGAGCCTAGAGTGTGGTGTTTATATGTATGCTGATTTGGCTAATGGTTGCTTCTGGTTACAATTAAGACCTACTGATACATGATCAGCAGAAGAAACTACAGCAAGACGATAAGCTCAACAAGGGCTATGCAATCCACATATGGTGTATTAGTCCATTTTCACACTGCCATAAAGAAATACCCAAGACTGGGTAATTTATGAAGGAAAGAGGTTTAATTAACTCACAGTTCTGCATGGCTGGGGAAGACTCAGGAAACTTACAACCATGGCAGAAGGCAAAAGGGAAGCAGGCACCTTCTTCACAAAGTGGCAGGAGAGGGTGCGAGCAAAGAACCCCTTTTAAAACCATCAGATCTTGTGGGAACTCACTATCATGAGAACAGCATGGGGGAAACAGTCCCCATGATCCAATCACCTCCCTCCCTCCACACATGGGGATTACCATTCAAGATGAGATTTTGGTGGGGAAGAAGCCAAACCGTATCACATGTTATTATATAAATATGCTCAAGTTGAAATCAGTCACCTGAAACCCAAACGCTTAAACCATCTAAATCATTATCCAATAATATTTCATTCCTTAAAAATATAACATAAGAAAAGACATGGAATCAACCTAAATACCCATCAATCATAGACTAGATTTTAAAAAGTTGTACATATATACCATGGTATACTGTGAAGCCATAAAAAGGAATGATACCATGTCCTTTGCAGGGACATGGATGGATCTGGAAGCCATTATCCTCAGCAAACTAACACAGGAACAGAAAACCAAACACCACATGTTCTTACTTGTAAGTGGGAGCTGAACAATGAGAGCATATGGACACAGTGAGGGAAACAACGCACACTGGGGCTGTCAGTGAGGAGCAAAGGGAGGAAGAGCATCAGGATAAATAGCTAATGCATGCTGGGCTTAATACGTAGGTGATAGGTTGATAGGTGCAGCAAATCATTATGGCACACGTTTACATGTGTAACAAACCTGCACATCCTGCACATGTATCCTGAAATTCAAATAAAACAAAATATATATAACATATACATATTGTGAATGATATTCTGTTATTGATTTGGCTCCCAGCTTGGATGTTATTGATATATTAGAATGCTACTGATTTTGGTACATTAGTGTTTGCATCCTGAATCTTTGTTGAAGTTGTGTATCAGAACAAGGAGCTTTTGTGCAGAAACTATGGGGTTTTCTAGGCATAGAATCAAATTATCTGCAAATAGGGATAGTTTGACTTTCTTTCTTCTTATTTGAATGCCTTTTATTTCTTTCTTTTCCCTGCTTGCTCTGGCCAGGACTTTCAGTACTATGTTGAATAGGAGGGATGACAGAGAGCATCATTGTCTTGTTCAAGTTTTCATGAGAAATGCTTCCAGCTTTTGCCCATTCAGTATGATGTTGGCTGTGGGTTTGTCACAGTGGCTTTTATTATTTTGAGGTATGTTCCTACAATGCCTAGTTTGTTGAGGATTGTTAACATGAAGAGATATTGGGTTTCATCAAAAGCCTTTTCTGCATCTATTGAGATAATCATATGATTTTTGTTTTTCATTCTGTTTATGTGGTGAATAATAATTTTCATTTATTGATTTCTACATGTTGAACCAATCTTGCATCCCAGGGATAAAGCCTACTTGATCATAGTGGATTAGCTTTTTGATGTGCTGCTGGTTTTCATTTGCTAGCATTTTGTTGAGGATTTTTGCATCTATGTTCATCAAGGATATTAGCCTGAAGTTTTCTTTTTGCATGTGTGTCTCTGCCAGGTTTTGGTATCAGGATGATGCTGGCATCATAATGCGTTAGAAAGGAGTTTTCCCTCCTTAGTTTTTTGGAATAGTTTAAGTAGAGATGGTACCAGCTCTTCTTTATACACCAGGTAAAATTCAGCTCTGAATTCGTCTACTCCTGGGCTTTTTCTTGTTGGTAGGTTTCTTATTACTGATTCCATTTTGGAGCTTATTATTGATCTGTTCAAGGATTCAATTTCTTCCTGATTCAGTCTTGGGAGGTTGTGTGTATCCAGGAATTTAACCATTTCTGCAAGACTTTCTACCTTGTGTGCATAGAGGTGTCCATAGCTATTTCTAAGAGTTTTTTGTATTTCTGTAAAGTGATACTTTCCCCTTTACCATTTCTGATTGTGTTTATTTGGATTATCTCTCTTTTTCCCTTATTTATCTAGCTAGTAGTCGATCATATTTCTTTTTTTCAAAATAACAATTTCTGGATTCATTGATTTTTGTATGTTTTTCACACCTCATTTTCCTTCAGTTCGGCTTTGATTTTGGTTATTTCTTGTCTTCTGATAACTTTGGAATTGATTTGCTTTTGCTTGTCAAGTTCTTCTAATTGTGATTGTAGGTTGTTAACTTCAGATCTTTTCAGCTTTTTGATTTGGACATATAGTGCTATAAAATTCCCTCTTAACACTGCTTTAGCTGTGTCTCATAGATTCTGGTGTGTTGTATCTTTGTTCTCATTACTTTCAAAGAGTTTCTTGATCTCTGCCTCAATTTCATTATTTACTCAAAAGTCATTCAGAAGCAGGTTGTTTGATTTCCATGTAATTGTGTGGTATTGAGTGATTTTCTTAGTATTGATTTATATTTTCATTGCACTGTGGTCCAAGAGTGTGGTTGGTATGATTTTGTATTTTTCAAATTTGCTGAGGTTTGTTTTATGGCCAAGTATGTGGTTAGTTTTAGAGTATGTGCCAAGTGCAGATGAGAATAATGTATATTCTGTTGTTTTGGGGTGAAATTTTCTATAGATTGCTATTACTTCCACTTAGCCATGTATTGAGTTTGGGTCACAATTATCTTTGTTAGTTTTCTGCCTTGATGATCTGTCTAATACTGCCTGTGGGTTGTTGAAATCTCCCATTATTATTGTGTGGTTATCTAAGTCTCTTCATAGGTCTCTAGGAACTTGCTTTATGAATCTGAGTGCTTCTGTTTTGGCTGCATGTATTATTTAGGATAGTTAGGTCTTCTTGTTGAATTCAACCCTTTCCATTATGTAATGCCCTTCTTTGTCTTTTTTTATTTTGTTGGTTTACAGTCTATTTTGTCTGAACTTAAATAGCAACACCTGCTTTTTTTCTGTTTTCCATTTTCTTGGTAGATTTTTATCCATTATCTTTACTTTGAGCCTATGGTGTTATTGCATGTAAGATGGGTCTCTTGAAGACAGCACACCATTGGGCCCAACTTCTTTATCCAACTTGTCACTCTATGCCTTTTACTTGGGGCATTTCACCTGTTTACTTTCAAGGTTAGTATTGATATATGCAGTTTGGTTCTGTCATCATGTTGTTAGGTGGTTATGATGCAGACTTGTTTGTGTGATACCTTTATAGTGTCACTGTTCTGTGTAGTTCAGTGTGTTTTTGTAGTGATAATGGTCTGTCTTTTCTCCCATCCAAGTACTAACCAGGCCCGACCCTGCTTAGCTTCTGAGATCAGAAGAGATCGGCGCGTTCAGGGTGGTATGGCCGTAGACTGGTCTGTCTTTTCTTTCCATGTTTAGCACTCCCATCAGGATCTATTTTAAGGCAGTTCTGGTGGTAACAAAATCTCTTAGCATTTGCTTGTTTGAAAGGATCTAATTTTTCCCTCGCTTATGAAGCTTAGTTTGGCTGGATATGAGATTCTTGATTATAAATTCTTTTCTTTAAGAATGCTGAATATAGACCTCCAATCTCTTCTGCTTGTAGGGTTTCTGCTGAAAATCCCCCTGTTAGCCTGCTGGGGTTCCCTTTGTAGGTGTCCTGCCCCCTCTCTTTAGTTGTCTTTTACATTTTTTTCTTTCATTTCAACCTTGGAGAATCTGATAACTATGTGTTTGGGGGATGGTCTCCTTGTGTAGTATTTTGCAGGAGTTCTCTGCATTTCCTGATTTTGAATGTTTACCTCTCTAGTGAGGTTGGGAAATTTTTCATGGATGATATCCTGCAATATGTTTTCTAAGTTGCTTGCTTTTTCTCCCTGTCTTTCAGGGATGCCAGTGAGTGATAGATCTGATCTCTTTACATAATCCCATATTTCTCAAAGGCCCTGTTTATTCGGCTTTTTGTTTTTTCTTTACTTTTTATTGTCTAACTGAGTTATTTTGGAGAGTTGGTCTTCAAGCTCTGGTGTTCTTTCTTCAGCTTGGTCAATTCTGCTGTTAATACTTGTGATTCTATTCAGAAATTCTTGAAGTGAATTTTTCAGCTCTGTCAGCTCAGTTTGCTTTTTTCTTAAAACAGCTGTTTCATCTTTCATCTCCTGTATCATTTTATTGTATTCCTTAGAATCCTTGGATTGGGTTTTGACTTTCTCCTGAATGTCAAGGATCTTCATTCCTATCCATATTCTGAATTTTATTTCTGTCATTTCAGTCATTTCAGCCTGGTTAAAAACCATTTCTTGGGAACCAGTGTGATCATGTGGAGGTAAGAAGACACTCACGCTTCTTGAGTTGCCAGAGTTCTTGTGCTGGTTCTTTGTCATCTGTGTGGGCTGATGTTCCTTCAGTCTTTGAAGTTGCTGTCCTTTGAATGTTTTTTTTTTCTTTTATTTTCTTTAATGTTCTTAGGGATTTGATTATGGTATGAGGTGGATTCAGTTGATTAGCTTCATTTCTGGTAGATTTTGGGGGGTCCAAGGCTCAGCTCAGCACCCCTGGGCTATGTGCTTTAATTCTGGGTGACTGGTATCGGGCATCCAGCTTTTGTCTGTAGCCCCTCATGGTTGGAAACCTGCTACTCTAGAGGGGTCAAGGAGTTCCTGGACCACTGGCCACCACTCTGAACAGTGGTTGCAGCCAAAGAGCTTTGTTGGACTGTGGCAGCAGAATCTGTGCTCATTCGCCCATGCCAGCAGCAGCGACAGCACAGCAGGGTGCAAGTTTATCAGCTGGGAAGGGGCTCTAGCAGGCCCAGGGCTGCTGGCCTCCATGTAGATCTTGGTAGCAGCAGCATTGGCCACCCAGAGGGTAGTGGGGGAAGGCAGGAGGGGTCTGCTGGGGTCCATGTTTGCATTCACACCAGTAGCAGTGTCAGCACAGGGGCAAGGCACCAGTGGCCACAGGGCTGGAGGCCTCCATGTGTGTATTCATGCCAGCTATGATGGTGGCATGAGGCAGAGGGCAGGGCCATCACTGTCCCTCTGCATGATCCCACTGGCAATGGCAGTGCAGCCGCAGGGGGCTGGTGGGTGCACTCATGCTAGGAACAATGGCACAGTGGGGTGCACACACACTCACAACTGGCAGGGAAGGAGAGGTGAGGTCTGCTCTCATACACACGTGCACTGGCAAAGTGAAGAGAGGGTATCCCTTGGGCAAGTGCATACTGGCAAAGTGGCATGAGGAGGCTGTGGTGGGGTGCGAGTGGAAGTGACCTTGTGCAATTCAGTAGAGATTGCTCTGCTGGAGCTCTCTGATGGTCAGGTGTGGTCCACCAGTGCAGAAGCTATGATGCAGGCTCCTAGGATATACCCTGTTTGGGAATCTGAGGCTGGACTGCAAGCACGCATGACCAGGATAAGGCCCTGGGAGAGGCCAGCAGACAGAAGAGCACTCAGATCAGACTGGCCCCATCTCATAGGCAAGATCACCCTGCTCAGTTCAGGTCTGACAGTTCCTCAGTTCACGTCCGACAGTTCCTCAGTTCACGTCTGACAGTTCCCCTAAGGCTAGAGTCTCCTAGAGAAAGGCTTGCTCTTCCAAAGCAAGCCTTCAGAAATGGGTAACTTTGGCTGTGGTCCCTGCAGACATACCCACACAAAACCTCCAGACTCTGCACAGGCTGGAATATTGCCCTTATTATCTCTCAAAGCAGTTCTCCCTGAGAGTTCAAGTGTCCATGGGGCTATGAGGTCTCCTGCTGCCAGGATGCCAGAGGTCCATAGTGAGAATGGGTCACCCCTTACCTGCTCAACTCACTCTCTCCCCAGCAGTTGTTGGGGGCTAGGAATGAGTCCCAGTGCATGGTAGCCTCATGTAGGGTTCCTAGCTTCCTCCTACTTCAATGCACCCTGTGTCCTCCCTCCATCCACTCTCAATGGCTTCCTTCTGAAGATCTTCTCGGAGTGTACCAGCCTTCCTGGTGTCCGGGTCCCTTGGTGGCAGATGTTCCTCCTAACCGATCTAGTCAGCAATCTTGCCTCTCTTCTGTTTTGTTTTGTTTTTGCTATTGTTGACTGTGCTTTAAGGGTCATGTCCATAAAATCTTTGCCCAGACCAACATCATGAAGATTTTCCCCTATGTTTTCTTCTAGTCATTTAACAGTTTCAGATTATTTTTAACGTCTTATGAGATAAGGGTCTAATTCATTCTTCTGCATGTGGATATCCAGTTTTCTCACCAGCATTTATTGATGACTATCCTTTCCCCATTGTGTGTTCTCAGCATCTTTGTCAAAAATCAATTAACGGCAAATGAGTGGATTTATTTCAACCCACATCTTAACCCAGAGAACATAACAGGACTATCCCCTCAGTTGGTCTCACTTCCCAGATATTTTGTATAATTTTTTTACGTACAATGCAGCCCTTTGGAAACAAGATGACTGCTTCCCTTGGGATTCAGTAGGAGAGAAAGTAATGTTTCCATTCTAAAAAAAAGAAAAAGAGAAAAATGCTCTACTTGACCCACTTGCAGATGCTTTGTTCTATGTTGTAGTTTATGAGTGATTTAAAGGCTTTTTGAGGGTGGTTTTCACCCTGCTTGCTGACATTAAAACAATAATTCTATGTAAAAACATCATCCTTCTGGAGAATCATCCTAAGCCAGATATGTAATCTTGTGAAAGTCGCTGAACTCCTTAGTTCTCAGTTTCCTTATCTACTGAAGGAGATAAGTAATCATTAAGATTCCTTTTATCTCTAACATTCTGTGACTCTAGAAAATACTGTTCAATGCACGGAATGCTCACAAAAACTTTTTTTTTTTTTACTGTGAAATTACATATTTACATATTCTGACTCTCAGAGCCACTACCATTGAAGGGTTTTTCTTATCCACCCATTTCCTTGGACCTCACCTAATGGAAATTCCATCGTCAGGGATATTAACTGTAAACTTGAGAACGTTTTCTTATCCAAATTTTAAAACTTGGTTATCATAACTATTTTTTTAGATTATAACATAGATTTCAAAGCTGAAGTATATAAAAAGACAAATAGAGAATGTGATTCACTTTCAAGATATTAGCGAAAAATGGAGATGAGATTATTTAAAACAAAAAAAAAGTTACAGACTTTTGGAAAATGAAGGGGGGAAAATCAAAACTAAATTAGATGTTTTTAGGCCAAATGAGTCACTTTTATTCATAATGTTCAAATAGTCAATAAAATGTTTGTGTTATGTCTAAGAAACAGTAGGTATTTTATGGAGCAAAAATACCAACTATGAGAGAATGAGTAATAACAACTCATATTTTCAAAAGCGTCAAAACACAGCCTTTGATCATTGATCTAAAAAGACATCTGATTTTTGTATTATATCCTCTTCTTCTTCCTTTTTTCCCTTAGATTCACTCTAGATTTGATGATAAAACCCTTTAAGGTAATGATTTGTTATAGCCACAATCTTAAAGTACTCAATAACACACACAAAAAATTTTAAGTTAAGAATATTCTAAAAACACATTTGTTACCTAACAGAGGTTTTTTTTTTTTAGAAAGGAGAAAATGCAAATTTTGAAGAAAAATTATAAATAAAAGTCTCTTTGAATGTGTAGGCAGAAAGGACTAATGCCTGTGCACCCTTCCTGGTGCTATTATTTTTATTAAGGAGACATTTTGCCCCTTAGAATGACACTACCTAATGCACTGGGGAATCACAACTAGAAGGCCCCTCAAAGATACCGTGCAGTCCTGTAAAGGGCTCAGTGACTTGGCAGAACGACTGGCAAAGTTTATGATTCCAGAACCTGTCTGCTCTCATCTAAACCATGATTTTCTTGCTAAATGACCCCCTTTTTCTCCTGTATAATTTAGTTTTCTCTCTCTCATCCTTCTATTAGCAAATAAAGACATTGACACCTTCCACCTTTAAAAATAACCAAACTAAAACTTCTTTCGAAACTACTTTCTCCTCCAGCTTTCTAATCTTTTTGTTTTCCCTTTTATAACCAAACCCCAGTAAAGAATGTCCTACTCTCTTCATTTTCACTTCTGCCATTCCACCTTGTCTTCAATTCCTTCCCATTCTCCTTCTTTCTGAGTTGCATATCTACTTACACCACTGAACCTGTCTCAGTGGTCACTACTTGTCAGACCTCTCTCTACATTTTCCTTCTAATATTTTAATCTCAGAATCTTCTCTTCTCTCTCCTTTTTTTTTTTTTTACCTTCCTCTTCTTCACCCTTCCCTATCCTCCATACTGACTTCCCAGGAGGTGGCATTGAGTCCCATTCCGTAGTTAAGTAAAGCATCATTTACATCTCAAACACAAAGCTAATTTTTAAGCTTTTCCCCTGAATATCTTATTGCCTTTCAATATCTTTATTTCAAAAAAATATTTTTCTTTGATATACATGTATTCATCTTAATGTTATATAGTAAATATAAAATGTCTTTGTCTTTCCAAACAGCAACAACACATATTGTCTGACAATAATAAAACATATTAATAAGTGTAATAGTATAATAAGTTCCAGAAGATTTCTAGATGTAAGGTAGAAAGTGTGATGAGGAAATGTGCTACACTCCAAAAGAACTACTTGAGTTTTTTTATTTATATAAGCAAAAATCCAGAAATAAAGGAGTGGAAATTGGAGTGGCACCACTCACTGTTACCCCAAGTGATCCACTAGCAAAATTTTGCTTTCTGTTCTCATGGCTCTGCTGTCCTAGAGGTCTTAGTTTCAGAGGGAAGAATGGTTCCTCCAGGAAACACAACAGTGATCCCACTGAACTGGAAGTTAAGATGCCACCTGGCCACTTGGGGTTCCTCATGCCTCTGAGTCCACAGGAAAAGAAAGCAGTTGTGATGATGCCTGGGGAGATTGATCTGGTCCACCAAGGGGAAAATGAACCACTACTCCACAACGGAGGTAAGGAAGAGTGTATCTGAAACCCAGGAGATCCTTTAGGGTTTCTGATAGTATTTTACCATGCTTGTAATTAAGGTCAATAAAAACTACAGTAACCCAATGCAGGAAAGACAACAAATGGCCCAGACTCTTCAGTAATGAAAGCTTGGGTGATCCTGCCAAGTAAAGAAAGCTTATCCACCATGATCAAGTAGGCTTCATCCCTGGGATGCAAGGCTGGCTCAATATATGCAAATCAATAAATGTAATCCAGCATATAAACAGAACCAAAGACAAAAACCACATGATTATCTCAACAGATGCAGAAAAGGCCTTTGACAAAATTCAACAGCCCTTCATGCTAAAAACTCTCAATAAATTAGGTAGGTACTGATGGGACGTATCTCAAAATAATAAGAGCTATCTATGACAAATCCACAGCCAATATCATACTGAATGGGCAAAAACTGGAAGCATTCCCTTTGAAAACTGGCACAAGACAGGGATGACCTCTCTCACCACTCCTATTCAACATAGTGTTGGAAGTTCTGGCCAGGGCAATTAGGCAGGAGAAGGAAATAAAGGGTATTCAATTAGGAAAAGAGGAAGTCAAATTGTCCCTGTTTACAGATGACATGATTGTATATCTAGAAAACTCCATTGTCTCAGCCCAAAATCTCCTTAAGCTCATAAGCAACTTCAGCAAAGTCTCAGGATGCAAAATCAATGTACAAAAATCACAAGCATTCTTATACCAATAACAGACAGAGAGCCAAATCATGAGTGAACTCCCATTCACAATTGCTTCAAAGAGAATAAAATACCTAGGAATCCAACTTACAAGGGATGTGAAGGACCTCTTCAAGGAGAACTACAAACCACTGCTCAATGAAATAAAAGAGGATACGAAACAAATGGAAGAACATTCCATGCTCATGGGTAAGAAGAATCAATTCATGAAAATGGCCATACTGTCCAAGGTAATTTATAGATTCAATACCATCCCCATCAAGCTACCAATGACTTTCTTCACAGAATTGGAAAAAACTAATTTAAAGTTCATATGGAACCAAAAAACAGCCCGCACCACCAAGTCAATCCTAAGCCAAAAGAACAAAGCTGGAGGCATCACGCTACCTGACTTCAAACTATACTACAAGGCGACAGTAACCAAAACAGCATGGTACTGGTACCAAAACAGAGATATAGATCAATGGAACAGAACAGAGCCCTCAGAAATAACGCCCTCAGAAATATCTACAACTATCTGATCTTTGACAAACCTGAGACAAACAAGCAATGGGGAAAGGATTCCCTATTTAATAAATGGTGCTGGGAAAACTGGCTACCCATATGTAGAAAGCTGAAACTGGATCCCTTCCTTACACCTTATACAAAAATTAATTCAAGATGGATTAAAGACTTAAACGTTAGACCTAAAACCATAAAAACTCTAGAAGAAAACCTAGCCATTACCATTCAGGACATAGGCACAGGCAAGGACTTCATGTCTAAAACACCAAAAGCAATGGCAACAAAAGCCAAAATTGACAAATGGGATCTAATTAAACTAAAGAGCTTCTGCACAGCAAAAGAAACTACCATCAGAGTGAACAGGCAACCTACAAAATGGGAGAAAATTTTCGCAACCAACTCATCTGACAAAGGGCTAATATCCAGAATCTACAATGAACTCAAACAAATTTACAGGAAAAAGACAAACAACCCCATCAAAAAGTGTGCGAAGGGGATGAACAGACACTTCTCAAAAGAAGACATTTATGCAGCCAAAAAAACACATGAAAAAATGCTCACCATCACTGGCCATCAGAGAAATGCAAATCAAAACCACAATGACATACCATCTCACACCAGTTAGAATGGCAATCATTAAAAAGTCAGGAAACAACAGGTGCTAGAGAGGATGCGGAGAAATAGGAACACTTTTACACTGTTGGTGGGACTGTAAACTAGTTCAACCCTTGTGGAAGTCAGTGTGGCGATTCCTCAGGGATCTAGAACTAGAAATACCATTTGACCCAGCCATCCCATTACTGGGTATATACCCAAAGGACTATAAATCATGCTGCTATAAAGACACATGCACGCGTATGTTTATTGCGGCACTATTCACAATAGCAAAGATTTGGAACCAACCCAAATGTCCAACAATGATAGCCTGGATTAAGAAAATGTGGCACATATACACCATGGATTACTATGCAGCCATAAAAAATGATGAGTTCATGTCCTTTGTAGGGACATGGATGAAATGAGAAATCATCATTCTCAGTAAACTATCACAAGAACAAAAAACCAAACACCGCATATTCTCACCCATAGGTGGGAATTGAACAATGAGAACACATGGACACAGGAAGGGGAACATCACACTCTGGGGACTTTTATGGGGTGGGGGGAGGGGGGAGGGATAGCTTTAGGACATATACCTAATGCTAAATGATGAGTTAATGGGTGCAGCACACCAACACGGCACATGTATACATATGTAAGTAACCTGCACATTGTGCACATGTACCCTAAAACTTAAAGTATAATAATAATAAAATAAAATAAAAAAAGAACTGCAACAAGCGGAGGTGTTTACTGAAGGCAATGGGAAAATAAATTGGCTATTGGAAAGTAGTTATAAATACCAGCTATAACCATAGGACCAGTTATAGAAATGGGGATTGTAATTGTCATGAGTATTTTCTCTTTATTTTGTTGTAAGTATGTTTGTGTGTATATATACGCATATTAAGAAATATCTTTGTTCTATTTCCTCTCATATTCCCTTACTATGTAATGTAAGATGTATTGCTATCAGAAGAAGAGTAAACATTATTCAAGGATTTTGACTGCTCTTTCTGGAAAGGGGTTACTGTGTTTTGAGTTGTACACAGGACAGTTCTATCATGAGAGGTGGAATTATAACCCTGTTATTGTCTTTATTTGGAAATTAGATATGGTTTAAGGAAATGGATATGGGTGCCAAGTTAAGAAGGAGTAGACTTCAGATGGTTAATATACATATAAATTTGACAGGGGTAAGGGATATCTAGATAGCTAACAAAACATTATTTCCAGGTGTATCTGTGAGGGTGTTTCCAAAAGAGATTAGCATTTGAATTGGCCGACTGAGTAAAGAAGATCACCCTCACCAATGTAGGCAGACATCATAGATTCCACTGAGGCACTCTTAGGACAAAAAGGTGGAGGAAAAGTAAATTTATTCCCTCCTCTTTAGCTGGTGCATCCATCTTCTCCTGCCCCAAGATAACAGAGATCCTGGTTTTCAAGCTTTTGAAATCTGGGACTTAAACCAGCGGCCCAACCCAGTTCTCAGGTCTTTGGACTTATACGAAATTGCACTGGCTTACCTGATTCTCCAGCTTGGAAAAAGCAGATGATGAAACTTTTTTGATTACATTAACCAATTTCCAAATCTCCTATTGATTCCATTTCTCTGGAGAATCTATACCAATATAACCTATCAACATTTCCATTTTAAAAAATATTTTTCTTTGATGCAAATATATTCATCTTAATGTTATATAATAGTTAATATACAATGGCTATATCTTTCCAAACAAAAACATCACACATTGTCTGATGATCATAAAATATATTATGTGAGTATAACAGAACAGTTATTAGATATGAAATAATTTTAGAAAAACCCAGATTACATGTGTATTATATTAAAATGTATATGCTCTTCTTGGCTCATGGAATATTTTCTCACTAATATGTTGAAAGAGCTTTTACTTTTCACAGTTTTATGCAATCTGTTATTTAACTTTGTAGCATGGGAAAGATAGTTCCTGTCAAGTCATGTCCACAAAATTGAATTACACTAACAGAGATATAAGTTCTCTTCCTAATTATAAAAGCAACAAAAATTCAAAACAAATCACATTTGCCATACACGATAATATATAACCACACAACATTTTGTAATAAATCATCTTGGAGGACTACTGGAAATAAAAGTCAGCAAGACTGAAGCAAGAAAGAAGTATTTAAGAGTAGCAAGGAGTTGACTTATTTTGTCTCAATAAATTGAGTATTTCCTCTATTTTCCAGCAATAGAAAAAGAAGTAATCTGGCCTAGTAATAGGAACAATCTTTATTTCAACAATTTTGTTTGTTGGGCTCGGTTTTTTATTTTATTTTTAATTAATAATAATAATTGTAGAGATTTATGGACTACAATGTGATGTTTTCATACATGTATACATTGTAAGATGATTAAATCAAAATAATTAGCATATCCATCATCTCATCTACTTATTTATTGTGGTGACAGCATTTAAAATCTACTCTTATAGTAATTTTAAAGTATACAACATGTACTTATTAACTTTTGTCACCACACAGTCTTACTCTATGACTTTCCTTCTCCTATCTTGTTTCCTTCTTATAGAATGTTACCACTTTCTTATACTATGGAGATCACTTTTTTATAACAGTGACCAGATATAAAATATTGAGGGCAAAATATGATTCCATCTAATATCTGCATCTATTCTACAGTAACTTTTATTGTATTTGGGAGAAATTAGGACTTCATAGCTGCACCAGTTATCTTTTGCGGCATAGAAAAACATCTCAAAGTGTAGTGGTTTATTAAAAATATATATTCAGCTCATTATTTTGGGGTTAGAATTTTAGGCTTGGTGAAGTGAGGTGGTTCTTCTGGTCTCTGCTGGGCTCGCTCAGGCATCTGCAGTCAGCAGCTTGGGTACCTGTGCCAATTTGGGCTGGGCGTGCACACATGGTTGGGATGATTACTATCTGATCAATATGGCCATTCATCCATGCTGCAGCCTGGGGTTCTTCTCAGAGTTGCAATAGAGAGGCTAGAAATTTGCAAGACCTTTTGGAGCTTAAACTCTCAACTGGTACAATGCTGCTTCTACTGCATTGTGTTGACTGGAGCAAGTCACACAACCAGCACAAATTCAAGAAATTGGAAAATAGACTTGACCTTTTAAAGTAGGATCTGGGAAGTCACACTGTAAAGTCATTATTACAGGGAGGATGATAATTTATGGTTATTTCTGCAATATATCATAATAATTTTTGCATTTTTCCAATAGTCATTGATGGTTTAGTAGTCCACATATTTTTGGTCTAGTATTGCACATATTATTTTTCTCTCAATGTATGAGAATTTACTATTATAACCACTACTTAACATTTAATGTGGGGATCATTGAATAATGCACTAAATGAACTAGATAAGAATCATAGTGTATTTATTAAATCCTGATTTTTGGATTAAAAAAACTGATGCCTGGAGAACTCCCATGACTTGCCTAAAATCAAGGGATGAACCAACCTGAGAAACCAGGTCTCCTGACAGCTAATCCAGTTCCCTTTTTAGCAATCCACACTACAGCCATACTTATATTAACAACTTATCTCTAATATTTATTTTTAGTTAGGAATATTTCAAAGTATTTGTATTATAATACAAACACCTCATTGTCTCCAAAGCTGCAATTTATTTATAACTGACATATTTGATAGTCTTTTTAAAAATTAATTATTCCCAGAAACCATCACTTTAAATATTTGCTTTGAAACCAGATTCTAACTTCTTCACTCAAATTTTCAAATATATGTATTAAACATTCAAATACATGCTACTAAACATAGATATATCAGTGCTATTTGATTTAAATGGCCATAAGACACTGAAAAAAAGTTAATATACCACATACAGAAATATTATGGAATAAAAGGAGGCAGTATGTAAAAATTATAAATTATATATATATAAAGCTAAATGTTCATTGCTTCCCTTATTCATTACATAATGAATGTTTCAATGACCTCTTTCTATGAATTATGTCAAAAATTAAAGTCAGAATGATGCTAATAAATAAAAAAAGAAAAACAAGAAATTTCCAAGCAAATTGACATGTCTGCATGGGTAACTATCCAAAGTATACAGTATTTAAAATAATACACCTAATATAAAAAGGAGTTATATCAGTGAGGTTAATTACAAAAATGAAAACATGGATAACACCAGATCAATATAAAGTAAATTTCCTATTTGGAAATTTCTGGAAACTACAAAACAGGAAAAACCCAAGGAATCTGTAAACTACTTCTGACTTATCAGGAGGGATTGTTTTGGTCAATTATTTATTCTTATTTTATTTTTATTCATATTTTCATTTATCCTATCCCCTGCTAACCATCCAGGATTGTATTCAGTAATGGCCTGTGTATAAGGTGCTTGAACGCCAAGTAATAATAAAATGAGACAACAGGTGCGAATTCACATTAAAAACTAGAACACAGTATATAATTATAAAAGATGATGATTATATAGCTGTTTTACTAATGAAGAGGTTGCCAAGGCTCAGAACTTTGGGGGTAGAAGCCAGTCTGTCTGCTTGCACATTGAATTCTAAGTGTTGAAGAACAAGAGATAGGTCTTGGCTTACAGGAAAAACTGAAGAAAGGCTTGCCAAATAAATGAGTAATACTTCTAACACTGTATTAGTGTCATTCCATATTACAACATATTGCATGACTCTCCGTTTAGAAACTGGATTAATTCAATTAACTAAATATTTTTATGTTACAAGTTGAGCATCCTTAATCTAAAACTACAAAATCTGAAATGATGCAATATCTGAAAATTTTTGAGAGCCAACATGATGCCAAAGGTGGAAAACTCTACACCCGACCTCATGTGACATTGTTAACGCTGAAAAAGTGCCTGTAGATGATTTAGTGAAGACAGATGATGGGCTTATTGAGGGACTAGAGCAGCATGCATTCATAGCAGAACAAGGAATCATGACAGTTTATAAAATCAAAGACAGGAATTCTAAAAAAAATAAAAATAAAAAAAATCATTGTTAACATGACAGGTGACTCTGGTGGAAACACTTTAAAAAACCATCTAGCAGAAAGCTTCCTTATCCCTTTAGGAATCAAGAGAGCCCTCGTCCTGGTCCCTCAACTGCTTCTGGTGTTTCTTCTCACCTAAAGATAATAATAATAATACAATGCACAGTAACCTTTTTACCAAAACATAGCATCATAGGTGGAGACTGAAAGCCTGCCGTTGTTTGCTGTTGCTATTGTTTAACACACATACAGTTATTCTGAGGATGCTACTGTGCCACTTAATACCCTGAACACGTTTTGTTGTTGTCGTTGTTGTTTTGTTTTTGCTTTTGTTTTCATTTTGAGACAAGGTCGAACTCTGTCACCCAGGCTGGAGTGCAGTGGCGTGACCATGGCTGGCTGCAGCCTCGACCTTGTGGGCCCAAGGGCTCTTCCTACCTCAGCCTCCCAAGTAGATGGGACTACAGGTGTGCACCATGGCACTCAACTAATTTTTGTAATTTTTGTAGAAATGGGGTTTCACCTTGTTGCCCAGGCTGTTCTCCAACTCCTGGGCTCAAGTGATCCACCCGACTTGCCATCCCAAAGTGCTGGGAAGCAAGCATGAGCTACCAGAAAAATGAACACGTCATTTTTTCACTATGTTAACGGTATGTCATATATTTTTTACTGTTAAGTACTTATGTGTGAATAAGTGTAAGAAGATGATTGCTTATCAGTAGTATATATAAATTCAAAATCAGAAATGATGGTGATGCCAAACAATCACCGATTGTTTACACGGGTGGCTAAGATAGTGACACTTTTGCTTTCTGATAATTCGATGTACACAAATTTTGTTTCAGGCACAAAGTTATTTAAAATGTTGTATAAAATTACCTTCAGTCTATATGTATAAGGTATATACAAAACAAACAAATTCCATGTTTAGACTTGGGTCCCGTGCCCAACATCTTTTATTATGTTTATGCAAATATTCCAAAATCTGAAAACAAATTGAAATCTGAAACTCTTCTGGTCCCACACATTTCTGATAAAGGCTACTCAACTTGTATTACAATAAAAATCAGCCTAAACGTAATTTCTTCTTTGTAGTTACAAATCACACTCAAAGCTGAAATTCTGATTATAAAATACACCAAAACAAAATTTCTTACTTTAAGTAGTATTAGAGGTAGAAATTAATTATTAGATCTATGATTAAGAACAAATGTATACAGTGCATTGTATTTTACAAATATTCAGTCATCACTCATAATTTTTTTTTTAACAGTCTGGATAGTCATTTCATTCTAATACTTTTGACAGTGAGAACAAGTAAATCCTCACATTTTAATTACGTGAGTTGAAACTTAGGATCAGATATTTTAGTTATACTAACTTTCTCCTCCATAGCAAGGATGTTTCTATTTCCTGTACTGAACAATGAAGGGTTTGGTTTGTTTGCCTCACTTAGAGTTATGAGGTCTTTTCCATTTTTCAAAAGAGTTTATTCTAAATTCTAGACAATTGATTCCAAACACACTTGAAAAAAGGACAAATGTACTGAGGATAATGGAAAAAAAAATTTAATCCAAGCAAAAATCTCTAGAGAAATTACCAAAGAAATGTAGCATACCCAAACAGGTGAGAATGAGAAAATAAATATTATAACTTCAATTAAAAATAGACTATTTAATGGACTGTAAAGAGAGGTGGGAATTAACTGGCTGATAGGTTTCAAACTGCTGAGTTAAACCTATAATACTTGTTTGCCTTGCTGTAATTTGGAGTCTACCATTGCCTAGAGGTCACCTTTGCAGAAGCAGAGAAAATCAATACATTTCACTGTGAGTTAAGTAGTGTCATTTAACTCTATTAAATAAGGTTTTCATAGTTAGGGGAAAAAAACGCAGAAAACAACCCAGACTAGCAGTGGCTTTTCTGGTTTGCAAGTAGACATTCCTTGTATAGTTCTTTGTAGTTGTCAAGTTCTTTCTGATAGTCTCTGATATTTTGTAGGAGTGAACCTAGCAGGGCTTCTGGTCAGGGTACTAATATTAGGCTGATATTTCCAGAGGCATAAATGGTCATTCAAAGTTTAGAACTAGAAAGCCCCAAAGGATTAAATAAAACCTCTGTCCTAGAAAATTCTGAGGATCAGAGTGAAGGGAAAATCTAATAGGACCATGAATGTAGCCCAAGGAATGATCCCAGTAGGAATAACAAAAATGATCAGAAGCCAGGGAGCTGCTGGACTAGAGTTAAAGATGATGATTAATGATCAATTATTAATAATATATCAATTACTTACTTGGATTCAGCTAAGTTCTTATAACAAGACAGCCATTGTGCAAAACATTGGAGGCAGAATAATGAACAAAGCAGAGACGTCACCTCTCCAAAAGTTTCCACTACCAGTTTAGTGAAATTCACATCATTTCCTGTGGAATTTTGATTACCATATAACCTGCTATTGAAATACTGAATTAAATGCAAATCTTAGCAAATGTTTTCATTATAGAAATTCCAATTTTACAGTGATATTATTTTGAGATTTGGAGTCTGACTGCTTCCTTTAAATCTAAAAATAAACCCATCCTCATCTTTCTACTCATTGAAAATTAATTTTAATGGAGTTCATTCTGGCAAAATGTATCTTATAGTCAGTAGATCTTAATTTATCCTGGTCACAACCATGGTCATTATCAATAGATTGACTTTTTGAATGACGTTGATATGTGGTGATAATCCACAACAGAATATCTTCACAAATTTTTAAAATTTAAACACGCATTTCATTTCAAATGTGATGGGGAAATGGACTAATTGATTCAAAGTAAAGTAATGTGGTCTCTGTGTTAGTTAAGTCATAGACTCTGGAACTAAACTTTATGCAGCCAATTCCTAACTTGTCTATTTAATAGGAGTGTAAACTTGGTTAATTTCTGAGACTTAGTTTGTGCAAATGAAAACTGGGAAAATTCATAGGGTCCTTGTAAAGATTAAATATAATAAGACAAATATACAGTACAGTGTTCAGAATAGGAGTTATCTCTATATGAATTTCTTACCAGAAAAACATTATTGATATTTACTGGTTACTTCCATAGTAAAAATGATACAATAAATTGTTAATTTTGGGCATCACAAATATCTGAGACCTATACCTACATTATTAAATATTATGGAAACCAATAGCCTTATGAAAGCATATTTTTTTTAAAAATTTTAGATGGCACAGTAAATAATAAATCAAAAGGAAACAGCAACATAAGTAAAAAATCATAATCAGTTACCCTTTTAATAAATTAAGATGAGCCTAAAAGGCAAAAACACAAAGACTCTACTTAACCACTTGAAACAGTCCTCATTTAGCTAGATGAATTGGAGAAAAAGAAAAAAAAAAAAAAAACATATCAAACACCTAGTTTGCCTCAGATCAAACAAATAAATCACCAAGTTCAGAACAAATCAAATTTCTAACCAATATGTCTAATATTCCTGTTTGTGTTTCTTTAAGTCACAGTCATCATAGTAAGAAGTACAAAACATACTTTCTCTTGAAAATGGTGGATGTAGGATCAGACTTTTACATGTGAATGTTTCAGGCTCTATGAAAAAGCTGCTTCAATGATTTAGCAATCTCAGTCTCAGGAAAACATGGTCAAATACATAAAGTGCCTTCATGAAAGCTGCAAATTACCTTTATAATGTTTAGCATTATTATTATCAGGCTAAAAACCAAAACTAGTTTTCTCATATTTGTTTTGAAAGATGTACTTAATTGCAAAATCAAAAATTGTCTAATTTCAAAATGTTAAGATAGTAAATATCCCTTTTAGTTTGCCTATTAAGATGTCTAAAGACATATGTCTGAAACAACAACATATAATTTATCTGTCTAACTAGATTTCAAATTATTTTTATAAGATAGAGACAGGGGATAGAGAAATTTATGTCATTTAAATGTGTACAGTGTTTTGTTTGTAGATAATTAATGAAGTCTTTTTAATATTTTTATTGTCAAACTAAAAGGGAACTATGTGTATATTTTGCCGTGTGATCAATTAATTGTGCTTTCATATTGTGCATACTTAATTCCAAATACAAAAATAAATTATTTGCAAAGGAGAAGCAAAATATGAAACTCAGTGCCATCAGATTATGACATTATAAAGATAATTAGCAATAAAAATATACCCACCCAAGGAAAAAAATTATGGGTGATAATTCATTGCTCAAGATTAGCTGGAAATCTCAGGACTATTTTCTTCCCATGGGTGACATGCACAGATCTCTGTTAGCATTGTTCAGCAACATTAGCCCCACAGGTAACACAGGTAATCCTCCTCCATGTGACATTCCACTTTTTTTACAGCAAAATTATTATGCATAGCTACGAAGGAATAGCACATTCTTTGGGAAGCTTAAATAATTAATATCAAATCCTTAAATTGTCAGATGCCAATCGCATCACTTTATATGGGTAATGGGAAAGCCAGAGAAGATATCATAACCTTTTTTGGTTTTAATTAAGTGTCTGGAAGCACAAAGTGTCTCACGTGGAAAACATTCTATAAATCTCAGCTTACCCTCATTGAATATGGACACAAAGCAAATAGAATCTCTGTTTATAATGTTGGGCTGGAAGGGATTGAAACCAACCCTTAAAAGAGTCCCAAGAGATTAAGAAACTAGTTTTCATCAGAGCCAGTGAAAGAAACCAGCTTTTAAAAGATGAGATGACCGAAAAATTTAATTAATTAAAATGACATAAGCAAAGTAAAAAGCCAAATAACACAGTGGGAGAAACTATTTGCCACTTATTTCATGAAGTATTCATATCCCAGATATACAAAGAGCACCTCAAGAATAGAGAAGAAAAATGCTAGCAGTGCTATAAAAACTTGGACAGTTCAAATAAAAAGAAGCACAAATGCCTCTCAACCATTTGA